>NC_000004.12:179830471-180133502 GCF_000001405.40 Homo sapiens
AATGTCAGTGGGGGATAGGGACCCTGTTGGAGCTTTTGGTAAATCATAGCTCAGACTCTTAGCATTTGGAGCAAAGCCATGCTATCCCTATGGATAAGTATCCTCCTTTTGAGATATTGTATTTGGCTTCCTACTGAGCTTTAATAGAGACTGTATGCTTATCCCTGGGATACTACATTACTTGAGCTAGTGATCATGAAGTGAGCATTTAAATATGTAAATGTTTTGTGGCAAACACAATTAGGCATGCAGAGCAGCCCTATCTCATCAAATGGAAGTGGTATATAGGAGTTCAGGTTTGAGCAGGTCCTGATGGCACAAATAAGCTAGTGAAGAGAAATCCTATAGTCTCTGCTGCTGCTACGTTCCCTTTTCTTTCTTAGCCCACACTTAACTAAGTTGGTTTACAGATGGTTCTGCAAGGTACTGCCCAAAAGTAGACAGCTCCTGCACTACAGCCCCACTCCAGATTGCCCCAAACAACAATGGCGAAGGGAAATCTTCCCAGTGGCAAGAACTTCAAACAGTGAACCTGTTTGTTCATTTTGCTTGTAAAAAGAGATGCCCAGAGGAAGGGGTCTATAAAATTGTATAGACCATGGCTAATATTTTGGCTGAATTATCAGGGGCTAGGCAGAAAAATAATTTAAAAATTGGTTATAAAGGGTTCTAGGGAAGAGTTATGGATTGATTTCTCTGAATGCACAGACTGTAAAGATTTGGGGGAACCATATAAAATGTTTCCTAAAAGATAACTTCAGCTGATACATTTTAATAATTAAGTGGATACAGTGACCCATTCTGTCGCTGTAAGTTAGCCTTTTTCCCCAGGTACTCCCACCATTCTGCAAAGAGCTCATGAGCAAAGCAGCCTTGCCAGCTTGGGTTATGCATGGACTCAACAGCATGGACTGCCACTCAATAGGGCATCTCTCAATACAACCACTGATATGTGCCCATCCTGTCAACAGTAGGATCTAATTCTGAGCTCCCAGTATGACGTCATTCCATGGAGAGATTGCCGACAGCCTAGTGGCCGACTGATTCTATTGGACCATTCTATTGTGGAAGAGGCTGTCCTTTTTTCTTACTGAGATAAGACACTAACTATGAATATGAAATTTAGTACCATGCTCCAATGTGCTACATCTTTACATTTTCTTTCTTTTTTTTTTTTTTAAGATGAAGTTTTGCTCTTTTTGCCCAGGCTGGAGTGCAATGGAGTGATCCTGGCTCACTGCAACTTCTACCTCACAGGTTCAAGCGATTCTCCTGCCTCAGCCTCCCGAGTAGCCGGAATTACAGGCATGCACCACCACACCCAGCTAATTTTGTATTTTTAGTAGAGTAGTAGAGACAAGTTTTCTCCGTGTTGCTCAGGCTGGTCTCCAACTCCCAACCTCAGGTGATCCGCCTGCCTCGGCCTCCCAAAGTGCTAGGATTACAGGCATGACCCACCTGACCCAGCCATCTTTACATTTTCTAATGTCTTATCCATCCCCATGGTATTCCACACAGCATGTCTTCTGAACAAGAAACTCATTTTATCACCAATGAAGTATGACAATGGGTCTAAGGTCACGGAATTCAGTGATTTTTGAATATTCTCCATAACTTGGAAGCAGCAAGCTTGAAACAGTGGAGGAATGGTCCACTGAAGACCAGATAAGTCCTCATGCAGAGTACAACAACTCACACAGCTCTGGTGATGTCCTCCAGAATGTAGAAGATATTCTAAATCCAGGAACTAAATTTCTTCCATAGCTAGGATCGATGGTTCTGTCAAGCAAAGGTTGAAATGGGAATGATTTATCTTACTATTATTTCTAATTAACCACTAACAAAGTGTACGCTTCCTGTAGCCCATTATTTTAGAGTCTTCTGTCCAAGGGATTCTTTGTTCCAAAGAGATGCTTCACAAGTGGACACACAATTATTTCACTGAACTGGAATTTGAGACTGCCTCCTGGCCCCCTTAGACTCCCCAGGCCAGCGAATCAATAGGAAAATAAGGGTTGCTATACTGGCAAACAGGATTGAGCCTGAGTATCAAGGAATATTAGTTTTCTAATGCACAATATAAACTAAGAATGGAAATGTCTAGATTTCAAGAAACGCACTACGTTTCATCTTGGTATTTCCATGGTCTGTGATGAAAGTAAATGGAAAACTATACAACCCAGTACAATCTGTACCACTAATGGCCAGGATCCTCCAGAATACAGACTTGGATTACACTTCCAGGCAAGATGCAACTGAATGTTTGTTGATGGCAAAGAGCATATGGAATGGGTAGTTGAAGCAGATAGTTGTAAATACTAGCTATGATGCAGATAGTTGTAAATACTAGCTATGACTACTTGTCCAGTTGCAAAAACAAGGATGGTAATAATTACAAGTATCTCTTTCTTATTTTATATGATTATGTTGTATATATTATAAACAACTGCTTTGCTTATCCTACTTTTACTCTTTCATCTCCTTATCATTTAAAATAAGATGTGTTAATAAACTGTAGCTATATCTCAGTTGTGAATTTAAAGGATATCAAAAAGGAGAACATTTCAACTAGGAGAAGAATAAACATCTCTCAAAGACTAACAGGGGACTTTAACATATTCTGGGGAAGGACTGGCATTTTTTCAATTGTAGGATAATTGTTTCATGTTAGGCATAAGTGTGATTTGGTTATTACTATCTTTATAGTTTAGTTATGGTTGAAGGAGATGTGTGTGGCTGCCAGGTTGATAAGGGGTAGACCGTGATGACATCATGCGTCAACCTGGCTAAGCTGAACCATACTTTCCAGAATCTTGTTTCTTGTGTGTTTCTGGTTAGGAGAGGCCACAAGAGAGATTCTCCTGAAGACTTGGAGGATGGAAGTAGAGCAGCAGCCATGTAGCTGCTCACACACTGTTGCTGACTTACCTCCTTGGCAGCAGTAAGGCCTGAAACTGCTCCATCTTCTGGATTCTCCTTTTTTCATGGGGCAGCTATGCATATTTACCTCCATGATAAAGGGCCCAGCTTCTTCAGGACGCTTATACCACAGAGGTCAATGAGAACAAATACTAACACTGGCTTCGGAGCATCCTTAAGGTCTGCAGCTTGTATGTGTGGTTTCTAGCTTGTTCTTGGTCTCCAACACCTTCCATCTTTTCTTACCAACTGCCTACTCTTCCAGCTCCAGCATCAGATGAGAAGACAATAGCCTTCCAGAGACTGGAAAAACAGCTGCTAAAATTGCATTAGAAAACATCCTATAAAACACATATATGAGGATTTTGAACGTGATTGAGCCCCAACTGATATACACTAACTCCAAAACATCATGCTAGAAACGTTTAGATTACTAATCTCATTCATTTTACTACCTTTGAAAATCCACCGCACAAATGTCCGATCATCTTGTGTCAAAAGTCATTTGTCTCACAGATGTGAAGCTCAGTTTTCACAATGACTCCTTTCTTGAACAGACTCTCCTTGGCCAACTCTAGTCAGGCTCCTCGGCGTCCTCTTCTCAACTAGACCTCAACTGTGGCCTATAAGACTGCAAACTCTCAGCACAAATGATTTTCACCCACCCTTGCCTGCCCCTCTCAGATATGCCACGTTGAGACTTGAACTAACACTAGCATACTTTCTAGAAGCTCAAGGCCACATCCCTAAGTTGATGACTCCAACTCTCTTAATTTCCAGCCTGAGAAACCTCACAGTCCCTAGGAGAATTTACTGTTTGTTCCCGACAAAACCTTCAAGGAGAAAATTCTCTCTCTCACACTCTGTCTCTCTGTCAGTCCTTGTGGGAGGATAAGAAACTAACTTCAATAGGTTCCATGCTCCAATTTCCACCACTGCCTCCTGTCAAAAGATAGGAAAAATTTGTCTCTCCTCCACTTCAGTACCAATTACCAAGCCCAGATGACCAAGTCATGTGGACCCACCTCCTGCAGTCCTTCCCCTGAGCACACCACAGTCTGTGAAAAATCCCAGTCTTTTGTTTTGGTGAAGCTGTTTGGATCACATTGGATCCTATTCCCCACTGTGGTAGTTATTACTGAGTAAAATCTGCCCTTCCTGCTTTACCTGGTGTCCATCTTTGTTTGTCTTTCACAGTTAATTCTTTTGTGGGCCTGCATAACGAGCTACCATCCAGACCAGTGTGTATCCGGGAAATACCATGGCCCAATTGTAGACAAGGGGATGAGCATCAATTGTAAATGTGTCTCCCTTTAAAGGTGAACAGGAAAACCTAGTTGGTTTCAAAGTCTTTCAGATATTTTCATAAACTAGAGAAAATTAAACCTATAATTGCTAGGTTATATCTAAGTAATTTAAAATAAATCTGAGAAGAAACAGGAACAAGAATAGGAGCAGATAGCTAAAACACAACTACTATTATTATTATTTCAGCAATCGCTATATCCTTCAAACCTGACTAAGCCTTACCAGAGGACCATTGGAATTCTGAAGTGATTCATTACCTAAACTCAAGAACATTTTCCAGAATATTAGGAATAATACGACTCTACAATTTCATATTTCTAAGTGTGGCCATTGTCTTATTTACACATAAAATATAAATACATTAAATATTTCAAAGGAAAGTAGACAGCAAGGGCCTTTGGTTTTGCTACATATAATCTTTAATTTTCAAAAATAAAAAAATTTAATGTAAATTGTTTTACAATGCATTGAGGATAGCTAATTTTCTTTTTTATTTCCCTTCTATGGATTGATAGAAAGGTTTTATTTCTATCAATAACACCTAGTTAGGTGAGAGTAACTACTTCTTGCTGTCCCCAGTAATAGACGTACTTCTATAGATTTGTGGTTTACTACAATGAAGCTAAGGAAATATATTTAAATTTGGTTTACTTCTGTGAAATTACAGATACATATTTAAATTTGGTATAAATGAATGTGAGGTCGCACTATATCCCCTGGTCAAATTCTTATCCTATAAATTAAACTATTCTGACTTACAGCAACAGTCCTTGTAGGCTTGCCTGGCTCACTAGAATGTCAAATGTTAGATAGGTAAATCTGACTAAAAAGCAGACACACTGACTCTTTGGCTAATGACTTCTTAAAAGTCCCTTTTGGATTTGATGCAATCAACATTAGTGGTCTTGTCACTTTTTTTTCCTATTGATTTTCTGAATATCATTTTCTTTAACTTAAAAGGTCAGTGAGAAACAGAGTTTGTAGATAACGTTGAATGAATTTGTGTGTGTGTGTGTGTGTGTGTTTTGGTCAGATAAGGTTTACTTTTAAAACAAAATGATGAATAGTGTTTTCTTAATTTTAATTTACAATTCAGTCTAAAATAAAATAATTCTCCTGGTCTTTGATTTAGCATTCATTTCATCATAAGACTTTTCAACTCATGTTTAGTAACATGAAGGACCATAACAAGACCTGCATACATTTCTACAAATTAGTGGAGAAGAAAACAGAGTTGGACTTAGTTAGACAATAACTAGAATAGCTTATGTCACTGATTGGATGTTTCTATAAATAAAAAAAATAATAATCTGCTGTAGCCTAGGCTAGTTCTATACTTACCACACGTGAAAGTACTTTGGTTTTTAGAGAGAACAGTATCTCCAGTTCTAAAATTTAATATTTGTAACCCCAATCTTAGATGTTAATTTTTTTTAGTTATTATATAACTTATTTTTATTTTGAGCACCTATTCTGCAAAAGTACAATGTTAGTCATTTCCGGATAAATGAAATCATTTAAGTGAACCGGTTCAGGATAAAAGCTTCCTTTATTCCTTCTTTCCAAAATGACATCTAAGTTCTAGAGATAATTAAACTTGCAGTCACATTTGTAAAACCTTGGAGATACAGAATGGGTAGAGGGAGGAACTGAGAATTAACTCTCTAGAGCTGGCAGTTGTTGTCATATGACAAAAATGTTCCCCAGCCATTTGTATGGGTCCCCAAAGGGAAAGCGTATGTTAGAGGATATTTCGGGCTGTGGCCTTGCCAGACAGGGGCAAACATATTCTGTGACCCGAAGTTGTAAGTAGTCTGCCCAGGCGAGGGTCTGCCCAGACTTGGACTAGGCAGTAGCCTTCAGCCCCTGCTTATCTGACTCTTATTCTCATATTCCATGAGAAGCTAAGGGATTCATTTTACTGATGAGATTAGAAAGTGGAGGTTAGTGCAGACGCGGCCTAATCATTTTGGCTCTCTCTTGTGCAATGTGCCTTTTTACAGTTTGTGTGGTTTTTCTGTTAACTCTATTTCCGTTATGAAGTAAGACAAGAAAAGAAGATGCTCTGTGCTAGAATTCTGTTTTTTTCAGTTGTCTTGAACATGGTTTGTGGGAAATTCAAATGAAGACGTAAGGAGATGAAAGTTTGGCTCTTGGACAAAGCCTCATTTCACAATCCCACTTCATACATGTGGCTTGACCCTTCTTCCACTCCCCCTTGGTTCAAAATGAAAGCAAGAGGAAAAAATGACTCTCAGTCTTAAGACATGGACATTTTATAATTCATCAGTTTAATGATTCATTCATTGATTCACTGAACAAATGATTACGCACCACCTGCTATGTGTTAGGATTTGGGTTATATTTTTGGAGAAAAAAAAACAAACAAAAATCCGTAAGATTCCTAATCTCATGATGTCCACTGTTTAGTGGGGAAAATAGATATTAGTGGAGAGAACAGATATTAAAATAACACATGTTAAGTTTCAAACTGAGATAAACACACTGAAAGCACATTACCAAGGAAATTGAGTCTGCTTGATTTTTTAAAGGGAAAGAAGAGGGACTGCAAGGAAGACGTCCTTATAAAAATGATCCCTGAAATGAGATTTGCAGGATGACTAGTTAACTAGAAAAGAGACTGGAGAAAGAGGATTTCTGTTGAAGGGTCAGCAGTAGCTACGTCCCATAATCAGGTTCATGTTACCAGAATCATGATGAGCCAGTTGACATGGTGAGGTGCTGACACTCCTGTGCAAAGATTTTAGGCAGTTTATAAGTATTGGGGGCCTTGAAAAAATCTTTTTTATTATTAATAGGGCCCAAATCTATGTTCTGTGATCCTAATTATGGTGGAAAAAAACATAGAACTCTCAAGGAACAGGCAGCCGGTTAGTGTGGCGCACAAGCAGAGACTGAGCAGGAAAGTGGGAGCCGGCAGTGCAGGTGGAAAGAACACAGAAGAGAAATTTTGTGATCAGGATTTTGGGTTTTATTATATCAACAATGGGTGGCAATTGAAGAATTTTATGATCAGATATGTGCTTTGAAAATTCACTCTGGTGCAACGTGGACAAAGATTTGGGAAATTTGGAGCAGTGGTAGAATAGGTACCAAGAGATGAGAGTATTTCCATTATCCAGATGAAAAATGATAATAGCTTAACCTAAGGTAGTAGCACATATTTTTAAGGGATATTTAGAACCTAAAACCAGTTCAGTGTATCAGAGAAACAGCTATAGCACGCTTGATAGCTATATCTTCAGCAACTTAACTCATAGTGGTACTGTTGTAGATTAGGAATCTTGGATATAGTTATGGTTAGAGGAAAAATGAACACAGTTTTGTATATGTTTAAATTCACTTGTATCATATGTGTGTAAGTTATGTAGATCTGATACTGATAGGAGAACCTAGAGCTCCCTATATAAAACAGAAAGTCATCTTGTAATAATGGAAATGAATATGAATGTAACTATGAGGTTTCTTATGGAAATAGCCTTGATTAAGTCAAAAACTGAGTACTTCCAGAATTTATCATCCAGGTAGAAGATGAAAAGTATCAAGAGAAAGAGAAGGACCAAGCAGAAACATGTGGGAAGAAAATCAAGGGCATGTGGATAGATAGTGCTTCAAAAAGGATGATGCAGTTAACATATTTGGATGATTCTGAAATTTCAAGTAGCTGGAATTACTTGAATATTTTCAGTATTTTTGAAGACTGAAATATTGGAAAATATTTACTAGCAGTAATGACATGAAAGTCATAAGTAGCCTTAGCAAAAATCATTTTTGGAAAATGTCTGTAGAGACTGGAATACTGGCATCCATTAAAAAGTAAGAAATGAATGGAAGATAGGCACTTATATATAGTGAGTAGGGACAACACTATCAAAAAGATTGTCTAAAAATAAGAGGAGAGAGTGTAATAGCTGGAGGGGAAGATGAAGTAGAGTCGGTGTAGTTGATTTTATTATTTTTGAAGATATGTGGTTCAATTTTTCAAAAGAGAGTACAACAAATTTGATTAAATGTTGAAGGGAAAGACTGATTTTAAGGGGTGTGCTTGTCTATTGAGGTGAAGAGGGGAGATACAGTTTAAATACACAGATTGACAGATGAGTCTATGTAAATTATTTTCTCAAATATTTAGTAAGTGCCTATGTAACAGACATATCTGAGAAAGGGAACTACCAAGCATTGGGAACATTTCTATTGGTCCTGGGCTCAACTGGGACCATAGCAAAGTAAGATGTTATCAGGGAACAAACTTTGCAACCTTTTCACATTCAACTCTTGGAGATATGTTTGTTATTCAAAAGCAATTTACTAAAGTTAATTCATTTTTTCATTTGTAATCAGATTCACTTAAAACATAAACCCTATGTGATATGTTCTTTGCTAAAGTGCTTCTTCAGAAAGGCACATGAGCTAAATGTATAAACAGACACCTAATTGAACTGTAAAATTTTACTATTGCTATTGTGCTCAATTTACTTTGCTGAATTTTAATGTGAGAAGACTATCAAAGCATAGCTACAGGAAAATGCCCTGCATTGTAAATGTATATACAGAATTCCATGAATGTTAATTATTGTATTCATACCAAATTCTCAAAATATTTCACAGAAACATTGAAATTTTCTGTGTTCATAATGGTTTTGCATAAAAATGTGTTAAAGAATTACAGATATTTACTCTGAGCCTAAATTTGAAAACAACTCTTTTGCTATCCTACTAAAGGAATGGAATAGCACTGTTGCTCAATTTGTTAACAGAACAAAAAATGTAGGTAACAATAAAGGCTAATTTTTTTTAATTTCAAGGGCACTTCAACTTATCTGTCAATAGAAAATCTAGTCTACAGTCACGGAGCTGTCATCTGTATATTACAAGGCATGATAAAAGAGTTTTGCTTTTCACAAGTGCAAAGGGGAAAGTTAAAATGCCACAAAATGTATGGAACTTGAAGAATATGCATTCCAGCTTCATTTGACAAGAGAAATTTGTCAAACTCTCAGTTGTACTTATTAACCACATGCCTTCACAGTACCATGTTTTATCTCTCATTTCAAGTTTTATTATAAACTTAGCTTTCTATTTAAGAAAATATCCTGACATAATAAAATTACGTTTTTCATTTACTAGTTAAGATTAACTTGCAGCACTTAACTTTATTTATATTATCCTTATTATGTTTATGCATTCAAAACAAGCATGATTCCTAAGTTTACAGCTGGGTGCTATCTCCATACTCAGTTCTGAACAGTGCACCGTAACTGGGAAGCTTGGAAATGCTAATAGAAACAGGTGGTATTTTCAAATAGAAAATAGCCACTCCTGAGTTCATTTATATTAGGTAATTACACTTCTCATTACCTTTTCCTGTTGATGCCAGATTGGTTGTTACTCCACAGGGAATACATAGGTAAGCACTGCATTTTCACAATTAACTAACATTTATTTGATGGCAAAAATTGAATTCAGAATATGAAAATTTGCAGGTTGTGATCAGACATGATTTTCTTGCAGCTAAAATTGCACATGATGATAAAAACGTTGTTACTCAACACATTATCAAGACATACTCTTTTTTCTCCTTTCTATCAGCAGGGCCTTAAGCAATTTCTTAGGTAGTAAGAAATAGCAAATTCTAAAGAAACAAGCACACTCCTAATTTGAACAATTTCGTGTTAAAATTAAGCACTGAGTAACACAAGCAAATTCTGTTTTAAATAGATAGACAGGAAATCAACCTCAACTAGCCAGTGGTTCTGAAACTTACTCTTAATTAACAATTAAATACGGTTTTTGTTTTTGTATTTGTTTTGCAAGAACAAAGTGTGAAGATTTGTTTCGCTGAGGCAGGTAGATAGAGCTATCTTCAGGGTGGAGAATGAGGAGGAACTTTGCTTTATCTTAGAGACATGCAGATTCCTTCATCATGATCAATTTAAAAGCTATTGGCCTAAAGTTTATTGTTATTCTTAAATTTTCATTCTAATATCTTGATTATGCACTTGATTTTTATGAAAAATGCTGGTATATTTATCTTGGAATATTATGGGAAAATAAAGAAGATAGAAGATAAATAATGCAAAGAAATATCTATACTGGCAAAAATGTTTATTCAGTTCCCTCCTCTTCCATGGGAACACCAACTCTTCCCCCATTTCTGACTTTCAATTCCAAAGACTCTGCTAGATTAGCTCAGAAGTTAGTAACTCAATTACAAGGACCTTCACTTTTTCTCCATTAATTTTATTTTTGTAACCAAGAGAGGTGTCTATACTTTAGATATGTTTGCATTTCTCTGTGCCAGACATCTTACAGAATGAATGCTTTCAGTTTTCAAGGAATTCTTCTTGTCACCATGTCTCACAGCCTTGACTACTTCATGCTCAGGGCAGCGGTCTGCATTCTGGAAAGCATCATTTTGCCAGGCGTTCTGCTCTTCCCTCACAATAACATGTATTCTGTGTTTAAACTTAATTAAACCTGTTTTGTTTACCTTTCACACAAATTTGTAAAAAGGTGATTTTCCATTGTATGATTTTCCTACTCTTCGTAAGAAACTATTTCTCAAATGTTCTGCCCCACAGGCACTTTTCTTCATTTCTCTTCCTTTCTTGCTCAAGACACCTGTCAGTACATTTAATATTTTCTATTATCTCTTAAACAGAAGGGGCCTCAGGCTGTAGCTTGACAAAGACACCCAAGGGTATTGACATCTCAAGTAGATCCAGATGTCACTGCCTCCCCAGTCCTCTTGTTCAAAACAGAGAATGATTGAAGTGTTTGGTCCAATGATGTTTTAACATTTATTTTGGGCTCATTTTGTGTCAGGTCTTTAACATGTAAAAGATACAGGTCCACCCTCCAAGGAGCTTCCATTCCAAGATATTCAAAGAAGACAGACATGCAGAGGAGCTCTTTGTGAAATGTATTTTCCCCAAGTGCAAGAAAACATACATAGGAAAGAAATCTGAAAACATTAAAGGGGAATTTATGACAGAGGCAAAGGAAACCATGGTCTCTCTCCCTCTTGCCATTTTAATTCTAGAGCCAGACAGTCTTAAACAATGAAAATGATTTATGTTAAAGCATCACACTGGTTAAAATAAAACTGTATTATCATTTTATATTCTTCATATTTTATTTATTTATTTATTTATTTTTGAGATGGAGTCTCGCTCTTTCTCCCAGGATGGAGTGCAACGGTACGATCTCCACTCACTGCAACATCCGCCTCCTGAGTTCAAACAATTCTCCTGCCTCAGCATCCCAAGTAGTTGGGATTACAGGTGCACACCACCACACCCAGCTAATTTTTGTATTTTTAGTAGAGATGGGGTTTCACCATGCTGGTCAGGCCGGTCTTGAACTCCTGACCTCAGGTGATCTGCCCACCTCGGCCTCCCAAAGTGCTGGGATTACAGGCGCAAGCCACTGTGCCTGGCCATATTCTTCATATTTTTAAAAGGCTTCATGTGTATATTGATTTGGAGATGGCAACCTAAGATGACTCATTTTAGAACAACTCTACATGGAAAAAAATTGTTCTTTGTGGAAGTGGAAATATTTCTGTATTGTTTCATATGGGATTGAATCTTAAAAAAAATAGATAATTATTGGAATCTCTGGTGGCTTTGAAGTCTGGGAAACAGAAGAAGGGCAGATTTTAACTCTTTCTTAAATTGTAATCTTACTATAGGAGAAAAGGCAACCTGAAAGGCACTGCGAGGCACACAGCAATGAAGGGCGGTGCTGGCACTTTCAGTTCTGGATTTATGATAATGAGCAGTAGGGAACATACAGGAATTTCTCCCTATATCAGGGAAGAAGAATACGTTGTTAGGACATTTGACCTATTGTAAGAGAGGTCGAAAAGAAGATTTGAATTGTAGGGAGAAGAAAAAAAACCTGGATTAAACCATAAAAAGAGATACCATGAAAAACAACATGTTATCACAGAAAAATGCAATTATCAGAGTGAAAAATATATGGGGAAAATGAAAATCATTTCTATAACCCATAATATCAGCATGTCCATAAGCAATCTAAAAGCAGAATTTTTAGGGGGGGAAACAGATATAATGAGGTATTCTGGAACAAGGATGTGTAATTTCTTCCTCTCTGGCTCCAGATAGTAAATTTTTAGGCTTTGCAAACCACACAGGTCTTTAGCAAATATTCAGTTCTGCTTACATAGCGTGAGGTGGTCATAAACAAGACATAAAGGCATGAGAGGAGCTATGTACCGATAAAACTTTATTTCCAAAAACAGGTGGCTTGACAGATTTGGTTCATGGTTTGCCAATCTCTCTTCTAGAACCATTGAAGTTATTTGTAAAATGATTCCAGGTTGATGTTTTTGATCCTTTATTTCTATGGTTTCACTTTACGGTATTTTAATTTTGATTTTAAGGGGCAGCTTTACAAAGAATAAATAATATCAAAAATATGTTTTGTGTAAGACAATATCTTTTCAGCTAAAACTAGAGACCGTGTAAATTAAAAATAATTAGACTGTATGGTTTTTTATTTGAACAATTGATAAGTTTCAGGCCACCTCATCTACATCAATAAAATAGAATGCAGTTAAATATCAACAGTGATTTAGGTCACATATAAGCACATACAATGACTGTAAGATCTTCTTAGTGTCATCTCACGTTTTTTTCTCACGCAGTGCTCTCTGTAAACATCATTCCCATTGTACTTCCTGTCTTTTAGGCTAGACCGGTGGCACCTATTGTTCTCACAGGCAATTCCTTACTATGCTATTGAATATCAGCCATGCTCTGACTGGGCTCTGCACCCTGCTGAGTGATAATCACACAAGTGTGACCACAGGAGGATGGTCAGTGGACCCTGAATTAAGCTGAGCTTCTCAGGTCACAGTAGGCCTATAGCAAAGAATCATCTAATAATCCTATAACATAGCTGGCATTCTTTCAACAATAGCTGTCAGATGTGTATCTATTCATGCTACAGCCACACTCACCCTCCCACAAAACCTCTTAACTGAGATAAACTTGACATTTAGAAATGATTAAGAAATGGCAACTTTTGAGGAGTCAGCTCTGCATCAACCTCAACTAATTTCTTGACCTGTTTTATCCCCTACTGTGAAAAGCAACTGTCAGCACATGCAGGCTAATATGTGTGATTGCCTTGGTCTGGTCTCCCAAAGCCATGGGATCAAGCGCTTAAACAAAAAAGCATGCACACTTACCAATAACAATGTATTTTGAGCATATTGCACCTTAAATTCGGATTTAAGAGATGGGAATAAATCTCCAACATTTCAGAAACATAGTTCTGTTAGTAAACCTAAGTTGAGTTAATGAATTATGGTTAATGATGACATCACACTTTCTCCCAAGAACAATGAGGCTACTGGTTTTATATTCGTGTAAATAAGAGACTCCAATTAGTGATTTTCCCCAAATACAAGGAAATCTGTCAAAGATACATTGAACTTCTACCTCTAGACATGTAAAACCATAGTGACATTGAAATACAGACAGTCTAGCTTTATAAAGACCAAGACTCAGTATTTACCAGGCACCCAGTCCCAATACAATTAGATATGCCAGTTATTGACAGCAAATACCCTGCTGTAATCTCTGAGGAGAAACTGAAAGCTTTTGAGGGAAGTGAGTGTCAAAGTATCTGGAAACAATCATTGTCGTAATCCCTTTGAAAGATGAAAATGCATTACAGGAGAACAAATGGAACTAACAGTTTAAATATCTATTCAAACAAAATAACATAGTTTACCCTTGCCGTTTCTTCTGCTTGGAATTTTCTTCCCCTATGAAATCTTTGTGGTTCACTCTCGCTTTCTCTAGATCTTCGCTCCAATGACCACTCAGTGAGACCTTCTCTAGGCACCTCTATCAGAGACTGAATCCTGCTTCCCTCCACACTCCATCCCTCTACCTTATTCTATTTTTCTCATTAGCACTCATCATCATCCTGTTTCATTCAACCCATTCATTAAATGATTTCCTCCAAAACCCTGGGCTTGAAAGAGTGCTGTAAGAAGGCAAAGACTTTCACCTTGTACATCGTAGGCGTTCAGTAATTATTCGGTAAATAAATAAATGATTCAATTAATGAATATGTGAATAAATAATTCTTTTTCACCAAGAACCTCTGTCATTCCAATTTCTCTTCACCAACATTTAATAGCAAGTTAGGATTTGAGGAGACTTATATGCAATTAAAAATATACACTTCTACTTCAAGTCTGTCAGTTGTCAACAGTTTTATTCTCTTTGCTAAGTTAGATTTTTATCATGCTGGCTTCAGCATTTGATGCTTGATAATGATACTGCAGACAAACACTCAAATACTGTGACATTACATCAGAGTCCACATAATTCATGTAAAAATTTACTTTGTCTACTGATATGGAGAGAAAGAAGAAGAAACATGATTAATTAGTAAAAGTAATTCTACCCACATTTGCCTTAGCTGGTATAAGTGCCTGAGAGGCCTGTAGTGTAACCATCTCATCTTAAAGCACAGAGTGTTTTTCAAGGATGTATCTACCTTCTTATTTATAATACATAATATAGAGTTTAATCCCCAACCACAAGCTTAAACACGTGCTACATGTGCAAAAATTATTTCAATAACAAAGTTAAAAATATAAAATACTTCAAAATAAATTTATAGAGAAAGACAAAGAACCATTTGAAGAAAGGTATAAAAACATATCAAAAGTCACAAAATATCTGAGCAATGGAAACTATATTGTGTGTTCCTGATGGAAAAACTTAAAAACCGTCAGTTTTCACATAATTAATATAGAAGTAGAATCCAAATTTAATTAGAATACCAATAGATTTTTTAATTGGATAGAATAATCTGTAAATTTGTATGGAAAAACAAATACCTAAAAGTGACCATTGAATAAATGGCAATGAGGGGGGACTCCATTTGCCTAATTTTGGGGCACATTATATAATCAAATACATTAAACCAAATATTATAAAATCATATTGATATGATATGATTATAGGAAAACCAGACAAATCATGAGAACAATATGTGTATATATACACACATATATATTTATATGGATAGATAGAATAATTAAATACATGATCAGTGTGTCATTTATTAATATGTATTCTTAAAAGTATAATGCTAGCAAAACTGACATTTGGAAGAAAATGTTAATTCATTTAGAAGAAAATAAAACTACACTCCTATCTTTCACCATATTCAAATAAGAAATACAATACAGATTAAGAACTTAAATTTTTTAAAACCTTAAAATCTTTAAAAATGTCTAGGACACTCTGTATGTAATTTAGCAATAAAAACATGTGTGATTGGCTATATAAAACTGAAAATATTTGTTTCAGAAAGAATACTGTGAACCAATAAATAGATCTACAGAAGTGTAGGAAAATCTTCTTAAACAGATGTCACCAATAGTTAAAAGTATATAATATAAAGTAGCTAAGCCATACTGATGGGAAACACTGGCAAACACACCAACGGAAAAAGAGTCAGAAGACTCGAATAGGTTTATCACTGACAAGCAAATGCTCATGGATAATAAACCATATCATCAGTGACTCAAATGCATTGTTTGCTTGAGAATTGCTAATTAGAGTTGCCAGAAATCTCAAAATATACCCGTAAACCTGACAGAAACTAAAAAGAACCATCACATCTACGACTGTTGGGATGGGAAGAAAAGATGCCTTCATACGTTACTAGTGAAAATATGCAATGCTATAGCCTTTCTGAAAAGAGAACAGGCCATATCGAGTACAATTAAAAACACATAGACTCTGATTCAGATATACTATCCTGGAATCAAACTCATACACACAAAAGCCTCCATACATAGAGCATGTGTACAAGGATGATTATTATAGCACTATTCAAAGGAAAAATTAACTAAAATTTTGCTAGTATCCATGGATAAGGAAATGGCTGGGGAAATTATGGTAAATTCAAACTATGAAGTATCTTGAAGAGACTACATGTAATGAGTTCATCCTATGTCTGTTGACTTGGAGAGATTCATATTAGGAATAATTCAGTGAAGAAAGTGATATGCAGAAAAATGTGTTTATATGACAAAGTATATATGTATGTAAACAAACATAAGTATATATGCACATACTATATGGGTATATATGCATATATGAGTATATGAACAGGTGACATGTATATGATATAAGTATATGAACAGTTGACAAATATGGAAAGATACATGCTAGTGGGTAAAATTGGAATACCTGATCTAGGCAGGTTGGGCAGGCATGAGTGTTGGGGAAAAGATAGAGAAATGGCAGAGTCATGTGAAAAGCAAAAAGACAAAGATGGCACTAAAAATAAGATATACATATATATATATAAAATATGATGACAGCTATGCATCTATCTAAAATTATGCACAGACACATTAGCCATCAGGAAAATGCATATCAAAACCACAAGGATCCCATTTCATACCCACTGGGATGGTCATGCTCAGGAAGACTGACAACAGGTGTCAGAAAAGATATGGAGAAACTAGAACCCTCATACACAGCTGATGTGAATGTAAAGTAATGCCACTTTATTTTATTTGTTTTTTTATTATTCTTATTCTTATTTTGAGATGTTTTGCTCTTGTCACTGAAGTGCAGTGGCGTGATCTTGGCTCACTGCAACCTCCACCTCCTGGGTTCAAGCGATTCTCCTGCCTCAGCCTCCCTAGTAGCTAGGATTACACCACCACACCCGGTTGATTTTTGTATTTTTAGTAGAAACGGGGTTTCATCATGTTGGCCAGGCTGGTCTCGAACTCCTGACCTCAGGTGATCAACCTGCCTCAGTCTCCCAAAGTGCTGGGATTACAGACCTGAGCCACTGCACCTGGCCGGCAATGGCTTTAGAAAATGCTCTAGCAGTTCCTCAAACAGTTTAACATAGACTTACCATATGACCCAGAAATTCTACTCCCAAGTATATACCCAAAAGAAATAAAAAAATGTCCACACAAAAATGTACACAAAAGTTAATGGAGAATTATTTATAATGGCTAAACGTGGAAACAAAACAAGTGTCCATCAAATGATGCATACACAGGTAACATGTGGTAATAGCTACACCAAGGAATATTATTCAGCCATGAAAATGAATGAAATACCAAATTCTGCAACATGAATGAACCTGGAAAACATTATGCTGAGTGAAATAAGCTAGACAGAAAAGGTCACATATGATATAATTTCATGTGTATGAAATGTCCGGAACAGGCTAGTGTCTAGAGATAGAAAGTGGACTAGTGATTGCCTAAGGCTGGAGTGGATGGATGGATTAGGGGGTGATAGTTAAATAGAACAGTGTTTCTTTTGGGGATAGTGAAAATATTCTAAGTCTGATCATGGTAAAGGATGCACAGCTCTGTCAATATGCTAAATGTCATTGAATTGTATACTATGAATGGATGAACTGTATGATACGTAAATTATATGGTTTTTTTGTTTTTGTTCGTTTTTGTTTGTTTGTTTGTTTGTTTTCAGAGGGATTCTTGCTCTGTCACCCAGGCTGGAGTGTAATGGGGTGATCTTGACTCACTGCAAGCTCCGCCTCCCAGGTTCAAGCAATCCTCCTGCCTCAGCCTCCCGAGTAGCTGGGATTACAGGCACCTGCCACCATGCCCGGCTAATTTTTGTGTTTTAGTAGAGACAGGGTTTCACCATGTTGGCTAGCCTGGTCTTGAACTCCTGAAGTCAGGTGATCTGCCTGCCTCGGCCTCCCAAAGAGCTGGGATTACAGGCATGAGCCACTGCCCCTGGCAGTGAATTATATCTTAATAAAGCTGTTCAATTATATACACACATACATGTATGAACCCATCTTTGTTAGACAAACAGTACCCACAGATTATGTTAAACTACCAACTAAATGTAGAACTTTTTTTTTTTTGCTTGACCTGTAAAATTGGCAAAATTGAATATGTGTTCAACATCCTGGTTTGCTCATTGGAGCAATTGCTTGTTGGAAATGAAATATAACTGTGTTTGAATTCATTTACAGTTCAATTCAATACTGAATTGCTGCCCCATTACTGCAGACAGTGTTGCGCTAATGTTGGCACCTTCTGGCTCCTAATATCCAATCGTGTGCCCTTCTTCCCAAATCTATATTCAGTAACACTGCATTGACAGCTTCAAATAGACCATGGTGGTGTATTTATACCACAAGCCCCCACAAATACTATAAGTTAGTCCCCATGCTCACCTCACCCCACCACACACTGATTTATCAGCACACATTGGTTACAGGTAAAGAAGCCCAAGGCTGAGAGAAAAAAGGCATGAAGGACCACAACATCTAAAGAAACCTTCCAGCTTGCCACTAGTAGTTAGATTTGGAACCTCCCAGAAAAGCTGGCTGACTGACTCTTTCTCACCAACTCTCACTATACCCCTGCCTTCCCAGTGGCAGCAGGACATTTCACCCTTTTCCCTTGGGATAAGGGAGAAGGCTCACTTCTCCCTGAAGCCAGTTGAAAGGGAGTCCTAAGAGAATCCCCTTAAAGTCTGATGTGCACATCCTGGAACAGTAGACTTCAATTATCCTCCAGCGGGGTGCTTGCCGAGCTGCTGGATGTCCATGCCCAAACTGGTGCCACCACTAGAGCAAAGCGTGCTCAGAGAGATCCTGGAAAGATGGCCCAGGGGACACAGAGTATGGTGCAGCTCAATTTTTCAGACCATCTCTGAATATGAGAACAATATGGGAAGTTTTCCTATGAGCCCACTGAGTTTTGGGTGAATACTTGAATATAAAGATGGACACCCATTTTTGCAGAGCTTTCTGAATTCTGGAAGTCCTGTATTATAATAAGTGCCAGCATTTCTTTCAGCCCCTGGGACTTAGTGTGCCTGGAAAGAAATAGGGGCAATCCCTATACCACGTCCATTCTCTGTAGCCCTCTAAATGTGTAGAAGAAGACCTCAGAGTTGCTTGTAGCTTGATGGGCTAGAACAATGGGGTTTTCTAGGTGGCCGCTGTCTATTGAAGAGTGGCCAACACAAGAAAGGGTGGAGGGCCTATCTTTGACAAGGCAAGGGAGTCATGGCTGGTCCTCTACAGAACTCTTCAATAGTAATGGAGACGGGTAAAGCCAATTACACTTCCAAGATGATGTGGATACAACCGAAATAGAGGCCACCACATAAGCGTGGTTCACCAGCATCAAATAGAAGGGTTCATGAACCAGCCTGAGGTAAGGGATGGCTTCCTACCAGCAATATGGCTGTCATGTAAGGGAACATTCTCCTCTGCTAGCACCCCCACTTTTTTGCTCCTAACAACAGCAGAGCTACAAGAAGGAGAGGAAGAAGTCACCTCACTGTGACATCCTGCCCCCATACCACCTCTATGCACTAGCCAGCCCCACAAACAAAGCTTGCATGAAGATTAGGAAGAGGCCAACATACTGCCATGTTTGTAATTAAAGTTTTACAAATAAACAGGAATGAGACTTAAGAGTCATTGAAAGTGTCAGGAGATTTATGGAATCTGAGGAAGCTATCTCTAAGGGACATACAACTCAGTGAGAAATCTAGATTCTACATAGTCTAGTCAAAAGCTGTGTCTGGGCAAAATAAAATTATTTAATGTTTATGTCCCAATGAGCTCTTCAATAAACTGGCTACAGTTTAATTATTACTCTGCTTCCCAGCTAGATCACTTCCATCAGCTTTTAAAGATGCCCCCATCTTTTTTTCACAACAAACCAGAATTTTCTTTTTCTCTTCAAAGCTGACAATTTAATTGAAAGTTTATATTTGCCATTTTTAATTTACCTTATTTTCATTTTTCATCAGACTTTCATCACTCCACCAAAAATATCTGTACCACTCAGTTGTTAAATCCAGAGGACATATTTCAACCATCACGTAATTTAGACTCAAGGCAGTACATAATACAGTTAGCATGCTCTTAATTTAATTTATGTTATATTATAATATTCTAAAATATTTTAAAGTAAATCACCTACACCAATATATTCCATACCTAAATCGTTCAGAATATTTTTTCACACATCCACATAAATTCATACATAACTAATGCAATATTATAACACTCTGAATAATTGGTAATCATTCCTTAAGATTATCTAATACTTAGTCTATAATCAAGATTCTATAATTGGCCCTTATAATTGGCCCTAAAATATTCCTCATAATTAAGCCTTTCTTCTCAAAATACTCTTTTCTCTAAGCTTTTATGGCTCAACTATCTCTTGATATTTCTACTATCCATCAGCCTAGTTCTCCCCTGAGTCCTTTCAAGCCATTGAATATTTAGTTCCCTCAAATTCACTGCCCTGGAGATTTCTTCTCACTCTGGTCTGTGATCTCACCCATGTCTATGACTTTCATTACCACGTTATATGATATGGTTTGGCTGTGTCCCCACCCAAATCTCACCTTGAATTGTAGCTCCCATAATTCCCACGTGTTGTGAGGAACGCCATGGGAGAGAATTGAATCATGGGGATGGTTTCCTCCATACTGTTCTCATGGTAGTGAATTAGTCTCATGAGATCTGATGGTTTTATAAGGGGTTTTGCCTTTCACTTGGTTCTCATTACCTCTTGACTGCCACCATGTTAAGACATGCCTTGTGTCTTCCACCATAATTGTGAGGCCTTCCCAACCACGTGGAACTGTGAGTCCATTAAGCCTCTTTTTCTTTATAAATTTCCCAGTCTCAGGTATGTTTTTAGCATCGGCGTGAGAATGGACTAATACATTATATTAATATTGTAACACTCCAATTTTTATTCTCAATATCCAATTCATTGAAGATACTACCTTTACAGCTTTTCCTTATTCACTTTTCTTGTCTCTCTGCCCACTACCTTAGGATAAGTTATTTATCTCCTTGACCTCTGCTACTGAGGCCTTCTCATTGACACACTACCTATGGTTTTCCTTATTTTATTTACTTAGTCTTATATTTGACATTTCTAAATAATATTATTAGCTATTTTATTATTTCTGAATAATATTATTTGATATTCTTAAATTTGGTATTTCTAAATAATGTTATTATTTGTATATGCAGAATGTTTGCATTTTTCATCCAAACACAGGAGTAGCTGGTAGTTGAGAAAATATTTTGTAGTAAAAGAAATTAAAATATTTGACCATTTTCTTACTTAAGAACTTTAAGCAGCTTTCTATTTCTCTTAGGATAAAGTCCAAAATCCTTAACGTGGACAACAACAACAAAGATCTTGTGTGATCTAACTTGTAAGTACCTCTGCAGTCTTATTTAAAAATATTTTCCTTCAAGTTTTCTTCTTTCTGTTTAGAGAGATTTCTTTTTTCAGTTCCTACAACCCACGGTATTTTTTTATTGTTACCTCTCTCCCGAATGTTCACCAGTCCCCACCACTTTCATCTCCCACAGATATTACTTGTCAGCTCAAATATCTTGTTCTCAAGGAAGTCTCGGCAGATTTCTCTGTTACATTCTCTTAGGAAAGCATTATAGCAGTTGATAAATATGACTCCTTTGTGTGATTACGGACTGAGGGCCCTCTCATCCATTAGTTTGTGAAGAATAAGAAGTCCAGGAAGGTGTCAGATTAAACCTATGATTTTACTCTTAACTCTAGCACACAGCTCTGGTGTCATAGGGGATACTCCATAAATGCCTGTGGAATGGATAACCAAATGAAGGGAGGTACATGAATTGTTGTTCACTTATCTGAGGCCTAATGTATTTTGATCATGTAGAACTTGCATGTAGGTTAATAATATTGAGTGAATGCATGATATTAAAAGTAGAATTTATTTAGTAAATATACCCTAACTTCCATGAATACACATTTGTCAAATGGGTCATGAAGTTTTGGAAGAAAAATGTTTCAAAACTAGACCACAAAGAATACCTCAATAAATAGAAATTTTTTTATAAAGTCATCTTAGTTGTATGTATTAATAAATCTATACTGTGTAACAAAATGAGAAGCAAACAGAAATGAAATCACTAGCAGTATTTTTAACTAATAATCAATTCTCAATTCAAAGATAAAATCTAAAAAGAAGGACAGACTATTTTTCAATTACACTAGATTCTAAATCCTAAAAAACAAAATCCCCCAAACAATACACTGAGGGGAATTAGTGACCTTTGACCCTGTAATGGGTGCCAAATGGAATTTAAATTTTATATTTTTACCTTGTACAAAAAATAGTTCCCAAGAGGTAACTGCTAACTGAAGTACTTTTTAAAAATGAGTGAGTGAATCATCATACAGAAAGTTAAAATAGAAAAGAACAGAGATTATAGAAACACAGTTAATAGCGACTAAGAAAGCAAAGGGTCAGTATCTTTAGTAAGTGAACAGTTAAAATTAATAAATAAGAGAAATCTAAAGACAAGACAGTGAAGGAACAATATACAGCAAAAGGTAACTTGCTATAAGGCAAATATGCCTAGGAAGGTAATAACAATGAGGGAGCTTCAGACCTGGAGGATGAAGGTAACCACTGGAATTTAAATTTCTTCACTTACCCTTCAAAAGGATCATAAGTTCGACAAGGAATAAACATAAAATCATGCAAGATGTATAGCTTCAGAATCACTAGAAGACAGAGAACACCACAAAATCCAGACGAGCTATCAGTAGTAAACAAACTCTAAATCCCAGCATAGCTCTCCCTGCCACTGCAAGCCTGTGGGTAAGAGAGCCAGGAGAGGGAGGTGAAAGAGGAACCATGAAAAAGAGGAGGGGAAAAGTGGTAACTTAGACAAAAAGTACAACAAAGGATCTCCTTAGAAGTTGGGCACTAGGCATGAACACTGTGAAAGCATTTCTGGGACACATAGTTCCCAATACCAATTACAGAAAAGGGGCTTGAAATGAGGGTGATGGAGGTGACAGCCTTGACGAGGTACAGCTTCAAAGGCAGAAGCAGGTAGGGAATGGGGCTCCTTGAGAACACGACAGTGAAATCAAAGAAGAAAGAAAAGGGAAAATTGAGGAATCTGTAGAAACCAGAGAGAGAGAAGAACCTCCAAAACTTCTCTTCCTGCTCTTACCACCATGGCCAACTTCATCCATTAAGGAAACTGAATGTCACTGTAGTGCAGAAAGGGGCATTCTCTCTAGTGTGTGTGTAGAAATAGAAGAGAATGTTTTTAAAAAGAATTTAATATAACATCTTGTAAGAAAAAAAACCCAGGAAGTATAAGTCATATCATTTTAGCTAATAAAAATGAATGCCCTTTATCCCCCAAAGAAACAAAAATCAAATAAGAGCAAAATAAAGTTGTAATACAACATTCCCAGCTGAATTATATATTCTCCAACAAGCATATGGAGATAAGCAAACAAGAAAGAAAATAAATACAATACCAAATGCGAAAATCAAGAACAGAAATAGACTAAAATGACAAAACAACAGAAAAAAAATGCAATGAGGGTTAATTGAAGTCATGAAAGGAATTAAAGATAAAGACGAAATCATCTCAGACGAGGAACAAATTAAAATTAGCCAGGAATGATCAACTTTGAGATATATCTTAGTAAAATCATCAAACTTGATGGCAAAGCTATCCTCAGGGAAAGCAAACAAAAGTTTAAAATGTTTAAAGGGTAACATGAATAGGTTCCATTCCAGCTGTGTGTTTTCTGCTTCTCTTTGTTCTACTAGTTTTGTTGTTCAGTGAGAAACTGGTCCTTGTTTGGGAACCCACAGCTGAAAAGACTATGCTGTTTACCATGGTGAGTGAAAAAACAAGGAAGGGTTCAGGGCAGATAAAATTATCATATTAGATTGCAGGTTTCAGGGTAACATAATTCTATGCTGCACTTTAAGACCAAGAGGTGTGCACCACTTTGTAAACTAATGAAAGTCTGTTGTGATTGACAGTTTACCAACGGAACAGATCAGATTCAGATTTGATGAGCAGCAAATCAATGAAACAGACACATCACCACAGTTGAAAATGGAAGATGGAGAAAAATTGATATAATAGAGGACAGTATATAATACCAAAAAAAAAATTGACCTGATACTTCATAATTCTGTTCCTATAAACAAGGTACATCTTCAAGTAATGAACAATTTGATTCCATGACCACCACATCCTTGCTGCTTTAATGCTGTCTTCTCTCCCTCCTCATTTCTTTATTTTACACAAGATAACTTTTATATACATAGATGAATGTGAATTTTGCAAATGTTGCATTGTTTTATTTTATTGTTTTACCAAAATGACCAATGGTATGTTTTGATGGACATGATATATAAATGAGAGAGAAAAAAAAAACTCCTGTTTTTTTTAAATTATACTTTAAGTTTTAGGGTACATCTGCAGAAATCATCATTCTCAGTAAACTATCGCAAGGACAAAAAACCAAACACCGCATGTTCTCACTCATAGGTGGGAACTGAACAATGAGAACACATGGACACAGGAAGGGGAACATCACACTCTGGGGACTGTTGTGGGGTGGGGGGAGGGGGGAGGGATAGCATTAGGAGATATACCTAATGCTAAATGATGAGTTAATGGGTGCAGCACACCAGCATGGCACATGTATACATATGTAACTAAAACTCCTGGTTTTATAAAAATCCCTCTTTCTCCTTTAGGGCCTTCAGGTTTTAAATAACACACCAGACATTGTTATTCCTTCTGTGTAGCAGATACAAGAGGCAATATTTTCACTTTTATGTTGGAGGGGATGTCCTGGCATACCTGGGACCACTGGAGCTAACTGAACATTGCATCCTGAATCTTCGTAAGGTTTCCCTCCCATCCTCTGGAGTTCCTGTGTCTTACTGAGCCTACAGCAGTAGAAGCTAGAAGCCAGCTCTTGCTCATCTTGCCTGCTCAACATGATGTCATCAATTCAGTGGATTAAAGTGAAGTACCACGTGATGTCTAGATGGCCTGGACTCTTCACATTTTATTATGATGGCGTGCATGAGCACTGATACAGCTGTATGGAAAAACCCTGAGTAATTCTGTTGTCCATTGCACATAAAGTTAACTTTCTGATTATTTCTTTTGATTCTAATAGAAAAACATGTATTCAATCAGTTAATGATCATATACCACATACCTGAGGCTTTGCTAATCTGCTTCAGCCATGCTACAAAATGTGACATGATACCTCCAATCAGGATTACTATTTGATTGAGCTGGCAGTAATCATTTTTGTGGTTCATCTGGATTCTTCTTCTGAGAAACAACTTGTGAATCAAATTTCTGACTGGATCACTCACCCATGCATGCATCCTCGAACTTTAATAGTAGCATTACTATCTGCCATACACACACACACACACACACACACACACACACACACACAACAAACGTGCACGCTTAATGAGGTAGGATTTTGTTTTTTATCTACGTAAAATGTCGGCAACTGGGAGGTTTCAGAGGATTTCACCTGTCTTCCTCATTAAAATATTAGGGCCCTTTTATGGGTGTTACTCCAAATGTATTATATGTAAGCATAAATTTCATACTTGGGAATCAGAGAAATAAGTTGACAAGCACGTGGGCGGTCAGAGAGTGGATCCATTATAAGCCAGAATTTAACGGGCACTCCATCAATTACCTGGTTCCGTATGCATCCACTCTAACCAGAGAACAATGGTTTGCATCATATCAATGTCAACTTAGATGTGTGTCCCATAGTTCACACATGGTCTGGATGTTCCCTTTTTCTCACTGTGCAGAAACTGACATAGTTTCTTTGAGTAAGGAAAATAATTCCAATATATATTTGTTGGGGTGCGGCAGAGTTCTTCCACCTAGAGACCTAGCTATCGCTTTAGTTCATGAGTTCCAGATTTAAAACTGGGCTGTTTCTCAAATGGAGCAAGGGACATAGCTGGCTACCTAATTAATGGGTCTCATAATTAACGGGTCTCAATGCAAATCAAGTTGTGAGGTCCCTTATTGAAAAAGCAGAAAACAGAGCTGTTGACATTAGTGCTACACTAATACCTGGGGCTGTTTCCTTTCTTTTGCTGTGTCTCATTATTTGTCATGACACTTTATATTTGTTACCTGATGTTTTCCAAGAAAAACAATTAATTTAAAATATTTTTAAAAAATAATTATTTTGAAATATTTTCTAAAAAATAGAAGTAGAAAATATAAAACTTGGAGATCTACCTGAAGTAGCAAAGTTGGAAATCAGTGGTGATGGGTTCCTCAATTTTCTTCTGAAACTACGGTGGCTATTTAATAATAAAAATGATGCAGAGTATCTTTACTGAGTTATCTAAAATTATCATATTATTAGAATGGGTTTCTCCTCAGAGTTTTACTTTAATTTGTGAAGAAATAGCTAGTACTGTTGAAGATTTCAGAGAAGGCTTCAGAAGTTTCAAAAGAGGCAGGGCGTGGTGGCTCTCGCCTCTAATCCCAACTCTTTGGGAGGCCGAGGAGGGTGGATCATTTGAGGTCAGGGGTTCTAGACCAGCCTGGCCAATGTGGCAAAACCCCATCTCTACTAAAAATATAAAATTAGCCAGGCATGGTGGTGCACACCTCTAATCCCAGCTACTCAGGAGGCCGAGGCAGGAGAATCACTTGAACCCGGGAGGCGGAGGTTGCAGTGAACCGAGATTGCAACACTGCACTCGAGCCTGAGAAAACAGCAAGACTCTGTTTAAAAAAAAAAGAAGAAGAAGAAGAAGAAGAAGTTGCAAAAGAAACAGAAAAACTGGTTGAATTCATACACCGTCAATGGAAGATGTATGTACATGGAATTCTGGAATTTTGAAGAAACCGGCTGTTACACTGCTCCATATGGATTTGAGTTTTTTTGTTTCATCTGCATACTGATTTTACAGAGAAAATAATTCCAATATTTTTTCTGAGCAATGTATGTATGTATTTTGTCATCCTAAACTATTTTTGAAGAGTTATCTTTAACATTTTGGCACAATATAACAATATTTTTTGCAAATACACCATAGAAAAAAATATGATAGCATAAGCCAGAGGCTTTTCTCATATAAAGGGGTTTTTCTGAGTTATAAATATAATGCAATTGTATTTATGTTGATTTTTATCAAGGAATAATTATAAATATTTTTAAATAAAAAAATAAAAGTAATTGACTGGGCATAGTGGCTCACGTCTGTAGTCCCAGCAGTTTTGTAGGCTGAGACAGGTGGATCACCTGAGGTCAGGAGTTTGAGACCAGCCTGGGCAACATGGCAAAACCCCATCTCCACTAAAAATACAAAAATTAGCTAGGCACAGTTGCATGAACTTCTAGTCCCAGTTACTTGGGAGGCTAAGGTGGGAGGGTCACTTGAGCCCTGGAGGCATAGGCTGTGGTGAGCTGAGATCACGCCACTGCACTCCAGCCTGGGCAACAGAGTGAGACCCTTTCTCAAACAATAATAATAATAATAAATTTTCTGCATGGATGTTATAATGTAATGTGCCTTTATATTGTACTATGTGATTTTTAATTGCAAAGAATGAGAGCATTTCATTGATATAAGAAATCACTGAAATTACTCAATTTGTATTTTATAACTCTGACATGGCTCTGTATTTCATTCTTAAAAGAACAGTGGAAACACTGCACAAACGTAACTCTCCCTCTTAATACATTCACATTCTACCAACGCTTCGTAAGATGTGCACCTTATAGTCACTTTGAGTCTCCCACACAGTGTGGGTGCACTGGAGTTCTATGCTCGGGGGCATCATGAACTTTGTATGTGAGTGAGGCAGCAAGGACTTGTAGGAGATGTGCAAACTGCATAAATCTCCTTTGCTCAGGCACAAGCTTGATTGGCCCATTAGACTTCACTTACAAAATACAAGTTCAAAGGAAAACTTGGCAATAATTTTAAGGTGTAAATAGCAGAGCATTAAATTAAATGTGAGGCCATTTTGAGCATGGGACCCTGTGTAACTACACAGGTAACACACTCAAGAATCCAGTCTTGAAAGAGAATTTTTAATTTGTATGAATTAGCTGGTATCAGGCTTCTCCTCCTCCTTTTTTTCCCTACAGGTGCTATGTTCAATTAAATACTGCAGGGAACGACTCTCTGCAGGCCTAGCCCCACAACTACCAGCTGCGGCCCCTCCATTGTCCCTATGACTTGGGAGTCCCATCACCCCCACAGTGTCACCATTTCTCTTAAAAAGCCTTAAATTCTCAAAAGAGCATTTTACCATTCAACATTGCACTTCCTAGAAACTGAACTAAACCAAACTTTATTTTCCTTAAAAAGTAGTTATTTCACCAAGATTCCAAATTTATTTGTGTGGAACTCTGCTGGTCTTTACTAGTGTCATGTGGCTATTGAGGACTTGAAATGTGGCTCGTCTAACTTGAGATTTGCTGTAAGTGTAAAATAAGCACTAAATGTGTAACATAGATGCTCTTCAACTTATGATGGAGTTTGCAGAGCCTTAGGAACCTTTGGGACTATAACAAAGATTTAACATTTATATCATAGGAGTCTGAAAAAGAGATGAGAAAGAGAGTATTGCTGAAAAAGGATTCAAAAAATTAACAGCTGGGAACTTCAAATTTTGGCAAAAGATGTAAATATACTGATACAAGAGTAAGGGAATCCAAAAAAGGATGAATTCAAAGAAATATACAACAAGGCACATCATAATTAAACTTCTGAAAACTAAAGATAAAGATAAGTGTTGAAAACATCTAGAGCAAAAGACACCTTACCTATAGGACAAAAAAAAATTCAAATGACAGCGGGTTTTTCAAATCACAAAGGACATGGCACACCATTTTTCTGGCATGCCAGAAGGACATGGCACACCATTTTTCACATTCTAAAAGAAAAAGATTGTTACTCTATAATCTCATATCCAGCAAAATTATTCTTTCTGGTAAGAGAAGGAAATTAAGACATGCTCAGATAAAGGAAAACTAAGAGAATCTGTTGCCAGCAGTCTTACTCTAGAAGAATGGCTTACTGGAGTTCTCTAAATAGAGAAAGCCAAAAGAAAAGGAACTTGAGAACATTGAGGAGAAAGGAAGAACATGCTAATCAAAACCATGAGTAAATATAACACACTTTTCTTCTCTAGAGTTTTCTAAATTAGTCTGATGCTGAAGCAAAAATTATAACACTTAACACTGTCTGATGTATTTCTAAATATATACAGAAGAAACATTTAAGATAATTATAAGTAGTGAAGGGTAAAGAGATGTAAAAGGAGGTGAGGTTTCTATATTTTACTCAAACTGGTAAAAAAATATCAGTAGACTGGGATAAGTTCTGTATGCATAACTAAATTAAAAAGCTATACAAAAACACATACTCAAAAATACTATGGATAAGTAAAAATGAAATTGTAAAATATGTTTAAGTAACCCATAGAATGGTACACCCACAAAAAAAAAAACAGAATAAAAACAGAGGTAATAAACATAAAACCAAAAAATAAAATAAAATGGCAGACTTAAGTCCTAACATATCAATAATTAAATTAAATGTAAATCATCTAAACATCCTAATTAAAAAACACAGATTTTCAAAGTGGATTAAAAAATGTCTCAACTATATGTTGTCTATAAAACTCATTTAAAATATAAAAACCTATGTAAGTTGAAAATAAATAATGGAAAAGATAGATCATGCTGCAGTTAGGCTGAAATATGTCCCCCAAAGATAACAGGTGGTAATTCCTGGAACCTATGATACCTGATTTGAGAAAGAGGTCTTCGATGTAAGGGTAAATGAAGGATCTTGAGAGGAGGAGCTTGTCTCAAATTATCTAGACGTGCCCTAAATGCCACCATAAGTGTCCTTATGAGAGAAAGGAGGAGAGAGATTAAACAAACAGAAGAGGAGGTAACATGATCTTCGAAGCAGAGATTGCAGTGATGTAACCTGGAAGAGGCAAGGAACAGACTCTCCCCTAGAGAGAGTGTACCCCTGCCAACACCATAATTCCAGATTTTTGGCCTCCAGAACCGTGTGAGAGAAATTTCTGTTATTTTAAGCCACCAGTTTGTGTTAATTTGTTAAAGCTGCCACAGAAAACGAATGCACATGTCAACATTAACAAAAAGAAAATGGGAATGACTTTATTAATATCATATAGAATATATTCAGAGCCAAGAATATGACCACGGAGAGAACAGGACAATATAGAATGTTAAAAAGCAAGCCATCAAGAAGATATAGCAATTCTAAGTATGTATTACCCAAACAAGAGGCCTACAAAATGTGTGAAGCAAAAATGAATAGAACAAAAAAATAGTCAAATCAAGTATTGTATCTGGAAACTTAACACTCACTCTCAGCAATGGATAGAACAATTAGAAAATAAACAAAGATGTAAAAGGCCTAAACAATGCTATTAGTCAGGAGGATCTAATCAACAGTTACAGAAAACTGTGCTCAAGCACAGTAGAATACATGTGACTGTCAAATGTCTGCAGAAAGTCTACTAATATTGGCCCAGCCATCAAACAAATCTCAACAAATTTAAAACATATGCTGCATCCTCCAAACGCAATGGATTTAAATTAAAAATCAATAAGAGATAATAGAAAAATCTCCAAGTACATAAACTAAACAGACTTAAAAAAAAATCCACGGGTAAGGTAAAAGTCTTGTACACGTACCCACTGAATCTAAAATAAAACTTTTTTTAAAAATCCATGGCTAAAAGAGAAATTATGAAGAAAAATTTGAAAAATACATTTAATCCAATGAAAATTCAATATACTAAAATTGGGCAGATACAACAAAAGCAGTGCTGAAAGGGAAATTGAAAAAACTAAGCACATACATTAGAAAATATGAAAAAGTCTCAAATCAGTAATCTAAGCTTCAACCTCACAAGACTGGAAACAAAGAGTAAAATTATTGCAAATCAAGGAGGAGGAAGGAAATAAATGTAAGAGCAAAAATTAATGAGATTTAAAATAAGAAAATAATAGGTAATAGCAATCAAACAGAAAAAGCTGGTTATTTAAAAAGTTCTATAAAACTGAAAATCCTCTAATAAGACAGATAAAGAATAAAAGAGACAAGAAATAAATTGTCAATATCAAGTCTGATATAGGTCTACTGACCCTGCAAACATCAAAATGATAATAAGGAAATAATACAGACATCTCCACACACATAAATTTGACAACTAAAATAAAATGGCCTGATTTCAAAAATAAAAAATCACATCTTACCTCATGTGGAATAGTTAATTTGAAGCCACATAACTCAAGGAATTTGAATATGTAACTTTGAAATCCTAAAAATAAAATCTCTTAGCCCAGATAGTTTTACTTTTGAATTATATCAGACCTTTAATATTTCTATACACTGTCATCCAGCAAAGAGAATATAAGGGAACACTTCCCAATTTATCTTATGAAACTAGAATTACCGTGATAACAAACTAGACAAAGCCAGTACCAAAAAAAAAGTAAGAAAGAAAGAAAACTACCAAATATTAACTTTCATGAATATAGACAGAAAAATCCTTAACAGGATATTATCACATACCATTCTTCACCTCACTAATCAAATGGGTGCATTCCAGCCAGGGATGTAGTTTGGTTCAATGTTTGACTATCAATCAATATTATTCACCATGTTAAGAGGATAAGGAAGATCCTATCAATCAATGTAGAGAAGGCATTTGACAAAATTCAACACCCATTCATGATGAAAACTCTCAGAAAACTAGTAATAAACAACAATAAGCACATAGGGAAAACCTACAAGTAACATTGTACTAACGAGGCAAGATTGAATGTTTTCCTCCTACAATTGGGAATAGGACAAAAACATTTCACTCTCAGCACTCTCATCCAACATAGTGCTGGAACTTCTAGCCAGTACAAGAAAACAAAATAAGTGGCCTGAGTGTGGTGGCTCACACCTGTAATCCCAGCACTTTGGGAGGCTGAGGTGGGTGGATCACGAGGTCAGGAGTTTGAGACCAGCCTAACCAACATGGTGAAACCTGTCTCTACTAAAACTACAAAAATTAGCCGGGCATGGTGGCGGCTACCTGTAGTCCCAGCTACTCAGGAGGCTGAGGCAGGAGAATTACTTGAACCTGGAAGGCGGAGGTTGCAGTAACCTGAGATGGCACCACTGCACTCCTGCCTGGGCAACAAAGTGGGACTCCCTCTCAAAAAATAAATAAATAAATAAATAAGTAAATAAATAAATAAATAAAAGCATACAGATAGGAGAAGAATAAATAAAACTGCCTTTATTTACAAATGAAATGGTTGTCTATGTAGAAGATATAAAGGAATTAAAAAAAAAGAAGTAACAAGTGAATTCAGCAAAGTCACAGAATATAAGCTAAACATTTTTTAATCTATCATGTTTTTATATACTAACAAGGAGAACATGAAGCCTGGAATTAAAAATACATTTGCATTTGCAATCAATAAAAAAAGAAATATTTGTGTGCAAATGTAACAAAACACATAGACAACTTCTATGCTGAAATCTACATAATGCTGATGAAAGACATAAATGAAGTAAATAAACAAAGAAATATACACTTTTCATGCATTGGAAGAGTCAGCCTAGTAAAGATGTCAATTCACTTTCCATTGACATACAGGTTGACCATAATTTCTAATAAAAGCCCAGAATGATTTTTTTGAACTACAGACAAGTTTATTCTAAAATTTCTTTGAAAATTTAAAATACTAGAATAGGTAAATCTATTTTCAAAAAGAAGAATAAACTGAGAGAGATCAGTCTACGTATTTTCAAGACCCATTGGATAGCTACAGTAATCAAGACTGTGATAGTAGCACAGAAATAGACATGTAGATGAATGCAACGGAATACAGAACCCAGAAAGGCCTGTGCAAATACTGTCAACTTATTTATGACTACGGTTCAAAAGCGACTCAATAGAGAAAAGATAAACTTCTCAACAGATTCTGCTAGAGCAATTGAACATTTCTGGAGAGACCAAAAAAGATAATTAATCTTAACCCAAGTTTCACACCTTACACAAATCAATCTTAGAGCTAAAATGTAAAATGTACAACTGTAAAAGTTTTAGAGAAAATAAAGATAAAATATTTGAGATCTAAAGCTAAGCGAAGAGTTGTTAGACAACACCAAAAAGCATGATTCATTAAAAAAACACAAAAATTTGACTTTATTAAAACTAGAAGCTTTTGCTCTATGAAAGACCCTGTTAAAAAAATGAAAAGACAATTTAAAAAAGTAGGAGAAAATATATGCAGACTACATATAGAACAAAGGACTAGTATCTAAAATATGTTTTTTGAAAGCTATCAAAACTCAACTGTTAAATTCTAAACAATCCAATTACAACATGAGCAAAACACAGAAAGAAACACTTACCCAAAGACATACTGATGGCAAATGAAGACATGAAAAGATGTTCAACATCATCAATAGGTCAATGCAAATTAAAATCACACTGAGATATCACTCTATGCCTATTCAAATGGCTAAACAAAAATAGCATCTATAACAAATGACGGCAAGGATACAGAGAAAATGGATCCTCACATTGTTGTTGGAAACGTGACTTGGTACCACCAGCATCACCACTAGAAAGCATTTTGGCAGTTTCTTTAAAAATTAAACATGTAACTATCACATGACATAGCAATTTCACCCTTGCTGGGGGCATCGATCCCAAATAAATAATCTTTATTTTACTGCTAGTGATGTGTTAATGTTTCCTGTTGTTAGCATGTTCCTTTTTCTTCTCAATCTCTGGTATTTTCTTTTTTGTATATGTAATTAATGTGTATTTATGAGAATATGTGGGTGTTTGGGCATATTTAAAGCACTGATGATCATAATTGTTGTATAAGCATTCTGAATTGTTTTTATTACTAATCATAGTCTTTTTCTCATTTACTGCTTTTCATCTGAACTATATTTGTTCCGATATAAAATTCTCAATCCTTGTTTTTTTATTGTTTCATTTGCCTGGCGGGTTTTTGTTCATTCCTCTGTTTTTAGTCCTTTTGAATCACTGTTTTAGGTGTGTTCCCTAAGACTGGGTTTACCTTAATAAACCACTCTGAAAATCTTTGTTGTAAATTATTAATAGTAAAACACACTCATGTTTATTGATGACATATTGTCCTCAACTTTGTCGTATATTTGTATTATCACTCCTGGATTATAATGATAAATGTCATCATCAAATTTGTAAGGGTAATTAATTATTTATTTATTTATTTACTTTTGTTATATTTTAAATTTACTTTTGAACTTTTTAAAAGGCTTTTATTTTTATTTTAGTATTTCCTTTGCATTTACAAATTTGATAGAGACATTTTTTCTTGCTTAACATTTTACAATGGAGTCTGTCAGTTTTGAATGGCGATTTTAATTCTTACTTATTCTCTACAACACAGTCAATGACACCAATATACTTTTTCTTTTTTTTCTGTGTTCTCCTTTTTTGGTAATGATGCACTATTTCTGTGTTGTCAAACATAAAATGTTCTCATACTTTTCTTCACCCATATCCTTATCTTCAGCTTGGTATTATAATTAAATATATTTAAGGTTTACATCAGCCTTTTGCTATAACCTCCCCAGTTTTCTTTTGATTGATTAACTTCATCCTCCAGTAGATTCTTTCAGAAGCACAGGTGTATGCATTATTTCCTGAGTTAATTCATATTCCAAACTATATTCTGAAGCCTTATATATCTAAAACTCATTTAAATACAAATTCCTTAGTTTATACTTTTTTTCTCAAGCCTCTTGAAATTGCTACTTCTCTTTTGCCTTGACTTCTATGTTATCTTGAGGAAAGTAATATCACTTGTTATCTCAAGCAAGAAATTCACTTAAATTACAAATTCTATGACATAAATGGAAACAATCCAGGAATCACTTATTTAGAGTAATTGCCCCTACATAAAGATCAGTGTTGGTCAGGCGTGGTGGCTCACGCCTGTAATCCCAGCCCTTTGGGAGGCCGAGGAAGGCAGATCACAAAGTCAGGAGTTTGAGACCAGCCTGGCCAACATAGTGAAACCCCGTCTCTGGTAAAAATACAAAAAAAAATAGCCAGATAGATTGATAGCTGTGGGTAAGACAAATGGAGAAAGGTTAGTGGAAGAGGGAGGTGAGTATCACTTGTAGCCCTAAAATCAACTGCAGAGCTGGGAGCTGCATAGTATCTTACTAACTTCCTTCTAATTTCTTCCTCTAGAAGACAAGCCCACGGGAACTGTGGAGAAGGTGCTCTGCAAATATGCAAGTAGATTTGAATCCGTGCAGTAGAAAGGATGAACTATCTAGAGGGGGCATCACCCTTTTTCTTAACCTCAGCACATGATTTGAAGATAAGAAGGCTTACCAAAACTTCTTGCTCCACACTGTGTATTTGCATTTCAGACCTAAAACGCAGAAGCATGTCGTGTATTTTAAAAGATTGCTTTTAAAATGATTCTCCCAAGCCTTATATTTTTCTAGAGAACAAAACGGAGGTGAGTTCATGAATAGAAAAGACCTAATCTTTCTTTTGATTCATGCTTATATATCTGGAATAAAGCACAGAGATGTCTAATGATTTTATGATAATATCAACTATTTTTCCTGACTTCTTTTATTCAGCAAAGCAGAGTTGCTTCTGATGGAATTCTGAAATAGAAATTGTTCCTGAAACTAGGAACTATTAACTAAGAAGTGTATTTGAGGTTCTTAGCACATAATTTGGTACAATCATGCCTTATGAAGTAATAGTCAAGAAGCTGTATAGTGTTTCCAGCTGACAGACATTTTTATAAGAAAGGGTCCTGTTCTCCCCAACCAGACATAGGGCTTCACACCCATCTTGTTTCCTGGACCCTCCAACATAATATAGTAGATCTTCAATTAGCCTTCAGGATGTAACTTATTGTCTCTCTACTCTGACATCATCTTAGTTGTGTTACAGAGGTAGACTATCATTTTCAGAAAAACAATCCATACTATACAAACGATATCCTTATAGCACACTGGAACCCAAAAGCTCTTTATTATCACATGTAGGGTGAAGCCCACAAGAGCTTGAGGGCTTGAGAAATGATACTCACAAGTGAGTCACAGAAAGTTCTCTGAAGAGGAAAACTGGGAAAGGATTGAGATTCTCTCTCAATCTTCTGTCCGCTCCATCCTTCGCTTTCCCTTTGATTTCCTCCATCCGTCATTCCTCCCGCTCTCTCATTATCTCTTCACTCCATTTATCCTCCTTCCATCCTTCTCTCCTTCTCCTTGCCTCAATACTTTCTCTCTGTCCCTTCCTTTATCCTTTGCTTCTACTTCTGCCTTATTTAGAATTGTGAATGGAAATCAGCTTCACCTTAAGCTAAATTGTCTTATTTACAAATATTTAAAATAACTTAAAAGACTATAAAATTTCTAGCAAAAAGAACTTTGCAATATAGGATAAGTATGGACTACCCTTTTACGTATTTTTACCTTTAAACTATTTCTTCTATTAGAAGTAACTTGCATGTGTTCATGTCTAGAGAGCAAGTGGTGGTTTAAAAGACGTATTTTTTATCTTTTTTTGACTTCTTTCATTCCAAGACATTACCTTATTAAATGTGATATAAATACCAGAAAGAAGCAAAAAGTTCTCATAAAACTGTAACTATTTAACAAAACTTACTAAGGTATTTTCACACACAGACACCCACCAGAGTGCTGTGAAATGAACCTATCACGGTGTCCTTGGTGAGTGAGCGATGGGTGGTTATGCCCCGTTTCTCCTGCAGAGGGCAGCTCCAGACACCTCAGAGCTAAGGCAGTTTCTGTAACCTCCTGGCCTGCAACTGGGATGATTCCTGTAGCGGGAGCTAAGACACCATGGCCTGAAAACTGCTCCTACCGGCTGCCTGAAAGGGGTATCCACCAGACACCTCTGACTGGGGCCAGCAGCTACACAATGGGGACTCAGTCGTTTTCAACCAATACAGAATAAATGGGTGTGAATTCTTCAATTGCATATATGGGCCTGATTGTGAACTAGGGTGGAAACTGTCACTAAGCCAGTTCCACTCTTTGCTCTCCCAAAGGAATTTTCCCATTAACAAAAGAAGTTGTGTCTCCTTATCTTCAAATTGCTTTTTTTTTTTTTTTTTTTTTAGAAAATAAAGCTTTCCTTTGCTTTTCCTTGGGGGTACCTCGTGATCTTTTCTTTTCTTTTTTTTTTTATTTGAGACAGAGTCTCGCTCTGTCACCCAGGCTGGAGTGCAGTGGCGGGATCTCAGCTCACTGCAAGCTCCGCCTCCCGGGTTCACGCCATTCTCCTGCCTCAGCCTCCCGAGTAGCTGGGACTACAGGCGCCTGCCACGACGCCCGGCTAATTTTTTGTATTTTTAGTAGAGACGGGGTTTCACCGGGTTAGCCAGGATGGTCTCGATCTCCTGACCTCGTGATCCGCCCGCCTCGGCCGCCCAAAGTGCTGGGATTACAGGCGTGAGCCACTGCACCCGGCGTGATCTTTTCTTAACAGTATATATACACATTAAAAAGGCAGACAGAGAGAGAGAGAGGGAGACAGACTTTAATATACATTATCCATAATTGTTAGTGGAGAGTATATTATGTATATTTTCTATAATATGTGCTAATAGAAGGATCTCTCATATCCATAGATTGATAGTTCCAAGTCAAAGGTTGCAGTAGATATAGCCTATTATTACATGGACAGTTAAATTGCCTGGAAAAATAGCCTCCTCTCCCAGCTTCTCTTTTTAGTGAGTGTTCCCCAAACAAACTTTGTAAAACAAAAGTTTCATTTCATTCATATACCTGCTAATATCCTTGATTGGATATATATTAAAGTCAACATGTATTAAAGATAACAATTTATTATCTAGTTGCTATCTTTTAAAACAGCAATATGGAGCCTCTTAACATCTAAACATCTCAAATATATTTCTAAAGATAAACTGTATGCATGCATTGTACCTATAAAATTGTATATTTGCACTACTGTCACTAATTATACAAAACACACATAAACCTATCCTATAAACGAAGTACTAAAAATACACTAATGTACCTTGAACTATATCAAAGTGGGGCTATATATATTTTTTCTGGTTTTAAGATTATATGATTTGTTATAGTCTTAGTCCTTTCCTGTCTTTATACCCATTCCCACATGTGGGATGAAAGAGAAATAGAAGAATAGCATATGAGGTAAAGAGTTTTTTTATAATGATAAGTAAGAAAATGATACACCAGTTTGAAATGCAGCGTTTCAGACAGTCGCTTTCATTGTTATTCTGAATATTCAAATAAAAAAGAATAATCTCAGTGGATTCCTTTGGAAAAACAAATAAATTACAAAATGAGGAATGTGTATTTGCCCATCTGTGCATTTTGCAGCCATCATGACAAATTGTTGATTTGATACCATGGGCATTATTAAAATCAAAGTCCTGCCAATCCTGCTTTCATACATAACAGATTATACTAATTATCTATTGGGGCCAAATTCACACTCTAGCTATTAACTCTTATTTACCTGAATAGAAAAATCAAGTACCCACAATATAAAAGCCAGCAATGTCCAAAACAAAAAATAATTGGACTGGAAGATGACATTAACCGCCTAATACATTCTGATATCAATTTCATTTCCAATTTTTAAAAAATTGAAAAAACATTGTACTACTTTGAATCAGGCTTTCTGATACCGAATAGCCCTTCTAGTCTTATTACTCCAAACAAGCCAGTGAGTGACTAAATTTTAAATTTCGACCTCTCCAGCAATATTCTTTAATTTATCTGAGCACCTGTGTTTTCCCTCAGTTTCATTTCTATTCTCTCTGGATGAAATAAAGAAAGGATATAGTGTGTATATCCTCTGGTGGATCAATTAAATTAATGAATTAATGAATATCTGTTTAGCAATCATTTACCAAGTGTATATTATGTGTCTGATAATCTAGTCTATTCCTCGTGAATTTTAATTATATTATTATTAAGATTGAAGTGTTCCCAATGTCTATGCTCTCTAATGTAAGAGATCCATTCTTTCATGAACCACCCCTATCTAAATACTTAATAAAAATTCCAGGTGGGCTTACATTAAGATCCTATTATCCGTTCTCACTGCAGTGCCAGGCTGGACAGTATCACCACATTTTCACTCACAAGTGCCCATTGGTGCTGCTGTTATCATCCTGGTGTAGCATAAGGCAAGAGCTTCATCTGGCTCACCCTTTTGGAGAGGGATGGGATTGAGTGCTTCCATTCTTGAGGAACGGAGTGATGAGAGATAAAGTGAAAAGTTCACTAAATTAACCGAGCTGTAACCAACATTCTGGCAAAAATTCTTCCCTCCTATCCACACACACACACAGGAACAAACACATAAATTTTTCTTCAACCTCACCCAAAGTCCCCTATGAGTTCCCAAATTTATTCAACATGCTTTCTCTGTGGAATGGTTTGGCTTATGCACCTTTAATGACACATTCCCATCTGACCTTTATTTTCACCTCTTCACTAAAGCTTTTCTCACTAAAGTCCCTGACTTCCACATCACTAAATCTAACGGGCACTTCACCATGTATAAACTCCAGCAGCTGACCTGGTGGTCCACTCTACTTTTTCTTTCTTAAGACACTATTTTCCTCATTGTTTCATAATACCCCATGATCCATGTTTTCCCCAAAATTCTTATGCTCATTTTTATCAGTTTTTTTTTGCTAGGATTTACTCACCTAATTGATCTTAAAGATTAGTTCCCCATGTCTCCATCTCTTGTCTTCAGTCCATCTTTTTCTTTCTCTCCCTTTTTCTCTCTACTTTTTCATCTGCTAGTTCTAATAGTTCCACCTGTGCACTTTTCAGCTATGAATTTCACAATAATCTATAGACAGACAACTCAAATAGCTATTTCAAACTTTGATTTCCCTGCTGAACTCTAGGCCAGATTACCCAGCTGCTTTTGATGGCTGCAATAAGATGCAAACCCTTCAGATAGAGGCAGCATCTTCAAAACTAATGTCACTCTCCCCATTCCTTATATAATATACCTCATATCATTAAATTGTACCACCTTCCTCAAATATGTTCAAACGTGAAACATGGCAGTCCAATATGCCTCTCTTCCTTTCTTATTTCTCCATTTTCACTGATATTATCTCTTAAATATCACTCACCTCTTTTTCCTGCCTTCAAACTAGCCCAAGACATTGTCTTAAGAAAGTATCTCTGTAGATTTCAATATCTTTTACTTTTCTTTATACAGTCCATCTTCTACAATGTAACAAAAATGTTATACTTGAAACACAATATGATTACCTTACACGTCTGTCTAAAATCTTACAATAGTTTTTCATTGCTTTAGGAGAAAGTTCAACATTTTTAATGAATTTGAACCTTCTTCCTGTTTGTTCTCAGTATATATGCACATTCAACTCCTTCAATTTCTTAAACAGTTCCAAGCGTGTTCTCAACTCCATATCTTGAGATCATCTAAAACCTGTACCTGAAGCAGTCATACTCACCTACCTCTCCTTCCTTCCCAGCTCAACTTAGATGTCACTTAAGTCATTATTTCTATCCCCAGCAATTTTAAATTGCCACCCCGTACATTCAGCTAGCACCCATGTACTACAACTCTAGATTTTTCACTAATTGTATGTCTCCTGCACTTGACCGTTGAGTCACAATAGTAATAATATCTTCTGAGAGAAAAAGGATGCAACTATCTCATTCTACTTTAAGGTCTGAGAGAAGATGGCCTAATGGATGTCAAGTGCTATATCTCTTTTAATACCAAAGTCACTGTCTCCTTGGATATGCATATGCAAAGAGAGTCACTGGTTCTTGATGAATTTTGTTACCAACCCTCAAACTATATCCAGAATGAAAAGATCATTCTGACCCATATAACTTGGAATCGGGTCTGGATTGATGGTCTGTATGTCTTCTTCCTTATACTGAGTTATATTTAGGAATCATAATTCCTTTCCAATATCCAGACACATGTTGGAGCCATCCAGTCTATCATGGTCTTGTGCCCTCTTGAAATTCATTTATGGTCAGACTTTTTCTCTTTTTCTTTTGCAGGATTCACCTCAGTACTTGTATAAGTAAGAAAAGAATTAATTGCCTGAAAGAAAGTTATTGTTAAATTAATTTTCATCAAATTTCCAGCTCCTGCCCAGCAGTGTTGTACTATTATAGACAAATTTCTGGCAATGTGCCAGGAGCTGAATTTATACAGATGAAAAGACATGATATCTGCCCTGAGGAAGTATGAGAGAGCATTTTATGTGTCCATTTGTGTAGGTTACTGTAGCAAATTATTCAATGAAATATTAATACGGATTTTTCTGGGAAGATATCTGGTAGATGTGATTGAAGTCCTTTGTGAATTAATTCTAAGTATGGGAGATTATACTAGATAATCTGGGTGAGTCTGGTTTGATCAGTTGAAAGACCTTTCCAGAGCTAAGACTTTCCGGAAGTAGGAGAAATTCTGCCTGTGGACAACAGCTTCAGCTTACACCAAGAGTTTCAGCCTGCCTTTCCGGACAGCCTACCTGATGGATTTCAGTTTGTCTAGCTAGCCTCCATAATCGTGTAATCCAATGCCTTGCAATAAATTTCTTGGTACACATTTTACATTAGTTCTGTTTCTCTAATTGAATACTGACACAAGAAGGAGGAAGAGACTAGTAAACAAATAATGACCTCAGGTAGCAGCACCATGAAGACACAGAGAGGAAAGCAACGATGTCTATGCACAGAGAGGAATGGGGGTTCAAAATATATTATGGAGAAGTTACAAGTTGTATTAGTTCCTGAAGGATTAACCATAAATTATGTCCTAATCACAAGCCAGGGTAAAGACAGCCAAAAGCAGGGTGGAAAAAAACACATGAGAAAAGTAATGGAGGCATGGAACCCCATGGCAGATTTTAGGAAAAGCAAGTTGTTGCTGTACAGGTATGGCAAAAGGACAGAGTAGACGGGATAAAGTGACAAATAAGGAATCTAGAAACAGGATATAGATCATGAAATTTATTTAATGTCATGTTTAAGTGTTCTGAAAACGTTTGAGCAACAACACAGGATATAGAGCTGTGTTCAAATACAATCAAAATTTTGTGTTAGAAAAAGCTACTTTTTCTGCTATGTGGGGGATGAATTAGAATGGAGCATATTTGAAGACATATGATAAACAAAAGTCAAATTCAATGGCAAATGTGAGGAATGTGGAAAGCCTGAGGCGGGGAGTGCTGCTGTGGGTGGAAATACAGCTACTAATTATAGATATATCCAAGAGCATGTAGTTACCAATTGAATATAGGGAGTAAGGGAATTTTCCAAGTCTAGAAAGTCACTCCATTAATAACTATACCAGAAGACCCTGCAGCAGTAACGAAGATACCTAGGTCAAAAAGGGAAATGGAAAATCTGAGAATATAAGAAATGTAAAATGATTTCAGTGTTATATATCTTCGGCCTGAGATGCACATGACTAATGAATATACTGGTTTGTACCTCAAGAGAGGCTGTTAGCATTTCATTCAGCTATGAATAACAGAAAACTTTCACTTGAACGACTTAAACGGATAAAAGGCTTATTTTGTCAGATTATACAAAGTTGAGGTTGGCAGTTCAATGTTAACAGGGTGTCCAGTATTGCTCCTGAGAACCCAGACTTCTTCCATCTTCCTTCAAACTAGCTGGATATGTAGAGTATTTTTCCCCAGAATCCTAGGGGTGTATGTGTGTGTGTGTGTGTGTGTGTGTGTGTGTGTGTGTGTGTGTGTGTATAGAGGAACTCCTTCGTCAGGCATTTCTAACTATACATCATTATCAAAAATCCTGCCTAATAGTCCATCTCTAGATACAATAAAGACTGTGATATTGACTATTTTGGTTTCCCAGTGTGTAAATTTTTTTGAAAAGACAAAGAAAACGTGACTGAGTGGTGTGGGTTCTGAGTGAGCAAACCATTCGTATCTTCCACACAGGTCATTTTTAGAAAGATAGGACTAGGTAGGATTAAACATATTGGTAGCAAATAAACTTTTGTGATTAGGAGATAAGAAGAAAAGCACAGGAGTTAAAATAATATATTGTGCAATGGATAAGGACTACACAAAGTAGAACTGAAGGAAACTACCCAAAATCTAGAAAGAGAATTAGAATAGGGAGATGTCACGTAAGCAAAATGAAAAGGATTTCAAAAAGGAATGTCTATGAAATTCAGATATAAAAAACACTGAAACATGAACATTCTATTTGTTGATTAGGGGTTTGTTTATGACTTTTGTCAAATCAGTTTTATTGGAGTATTTTTAGTGTGACATTTAAAGTGATTAGTACAGTCACTGTTCTGGGCACAGGGAATGCAATAGTGAAGAAGACAGATATGGTTCCTCCCTGACCCCATAAACTGCATATAAAGATGGAACAACAGATACACATATATTTTTTTAAAAAAGAATTAATGAAGGTAATAAAGGCAGTGAATGGATTAAATGAACAAGAAACCAGGAAAATTAGAGAAGGGGACAAACCAGTTCAGGTCCTCATAGAAGATCTCCCAGGTGAGACCTAAATATAAAGAACTAAAAATGTAAAATATCGGGGAGAGGAAGGGATTTTTTTGCTAAGTAAGTGGTAATTGGAAAAAGAACCTCAATAGCAAAGGCAATTCTAAGCAAATATAACAAAGCTGGAGGCATCATGCTACTGGACTTCAAACTATACTACAAGGCTACAGTAACCAACACAGCATGGCACTGGTACAAAAAGAAATAAAGAGACCAATGGAACAGAATAGAGGGCCCAGAAACAAGACCATACATCTACAACTATCTGTTCCTTGACAAAGCTGACAAAAACAAGCAATGGGGAAAGGACTCCCTATTCAATAAATTGTGCTGGGATAACTGGCTAGCCATATGCAGAAAATTGAAACTGGATGAACAGCTTCCTTACACCGTATACAAAAATTAACTCAAGATGGATTAAAGACTTAAATGAAAAACCCCAAATTATAAAATTCCTGGAAGACAACTTAGGCAATACCATTTTGGACACAGGAACTGACAAAGATTTCATGATAAAGATGCGAAAAGCAATTACAACAAAAGCAAAAATTGACAAATGGGATCTAATTAAACTAAAGAGCTTCTGCCGAGCAAAAGAAAGCATCAACAGGGAAAACAGGCAACCTGCAGGATGGGAGAAAATATTTGCAAACTACACATCTGACAAAGGTCTAATATCCAGCATCTATAAGCAACTTAAACGAATTTACAATAAAAAATGCCATTAAGAAATGGGCAAAGGACATGAAGAGACATTTTTCAAAAGAAGACATGCATGCAGCCAACAAGCATATGAAAAAAAGTTTAATATCACTGATCATTAGAGAAATGAAAATTAAAACCAATAAGATAGTATCTCACAGCAGTCAGAATGGCTGCTATTAAAAAGTCAAAAAACAACAGATTCTGGTGAGGTTGCAGAGAAAAGCAAACGCTTATACACTGCTTGTGGGAGTGTAAATTAGTTTAACCATTGTGGAAAACAATGGTTATTCCTCAAAGAAGAATTCCTCTGGTGATTCCTCAAATTGCTAAACACAGAACTGCCATTCAACTCAGCAATCCCATCACTGGGTATATACCCAAAGGAATTTAAATCATTCTATCATGAAAACACATGCATAAATACGTTAATGGCAGTACTATTCACAATAGCAAAGACATGGAATCAACCTAAATTCCCATCAATGTAGACTGGATAAGGAAAATGTGGTACATATACACCATGGACTACTATGTAGCCATAAAAAAGAATGAGATCATGCCCTTTGCAGGGACATAGATTGAGCTAGAGGCAATCATCCTTAGCAAACTGTCACAGGAAGAGAAAACCAAATACCTTTATTCTCCTTTATCAGTGGGAGCTAACTGATGAGAACACACGAACACATAGAGGGGAACAACAGGCACTGGAGACTCTTAGAAGGTGGAGACTGGGAGGAGTGAGAGGATCAGGAAAAATAACTAATGGGTACTGGGCTTAATACCTGGGTGATGAAATAATCTGTACAACAAAACCCCACGACACAAGTTTACCTGTATAACAAACCTGCACATGTACTCCTGAACTTCAAATAAAAGTTTTAAACATTTTCTCTAAGTTAGAAAGAGCCTGACATGCTTGAGAACCTGAAGATAGCTCAACATGACTGGGGCATTGGACTATACCATGCTGAATTTTTTTTTTCCATTTAAACTGTTTAATTATACAGGGTGGAAAGAATGACATCTGTCTGCTTTCCAAGAAAACATGGATTAAAGAAATGACCTTTCACTTGTTGTGAAACTCATTTGTTGTGTATTTGAACTTGGATGGCTTCAGTTGGGCCAGGCGTTTTGTTGCCTCCATGTATATGTCTAAGACTGGAGATGAATGAAGCTCCATCTTCAACTGGATTGATCTGTATATTAGCTTTTTTTTACAATGATTTATATATTAGCATTTTTTACAATGTCACCATCTGAAATACTTTTCCAGAGAAGTGTCTCTTCTTGTAGTTATTCCTGGTATTTTGTAGATTTATATGAATGTAAATGTATCTGAAACATCAAAGGGACAAGAAAATGATCTTTGCTATGAGTCACAGAATAAGAACAATAAATCCCCACAGATCAACAAGAACTATTCAAAAGACACAGGAGCATAATTGATGGGACTGTTGATCTTTTTATAATTAAAAAATATTTAGAACCAGAAAAAAGTCATGGAACTAAATGTCAGGTGTCACATTGTGAGAACTGTATTATTAATTAGCACATTTCATTACTTTTTTTAAAGTAGGGTTTCAAACTTTATTTTACTTTATTTTTATTTTTCAGGAGTACATGTGCAGGTTTGTTATATCAGTAAACTTGTGTCATGGGGCTTTGTTGTACAGATTATTTCATCATCCAGGTATTAAGCCCAGTACCCATTTGTTATTTTTCTTCATCCTCTGCCTCCTCTCGCCCTCTATCCTCCAACAGGCCCCAGCGTCTGTTGTTTTCCTCCATGTGTCCGTTCCTTTGTCCTGGATGGTATTTTCTAGATTGCTTTCCAGGGTTTTTATAGTTTTGGGTTTTATATTTAAGTCTTGAATACATCCTGAGTTAATTTTTGTATATGATGTAAGGAAAGGGTCCAGTTTTAATCTTCTGCATATGGCTACATGCTGAATGAATTAGGTCATGAAAAAGAATTGGGATTTTATCCCACTTGAAATGTAAAGTTTATTTTTTAATTGACAGATAATATTCATACATATTATTGGGGTACATAGTGATGTTTTGATATGTATAATATGTTATTAGTCCACTTGCATTGCTACCAAGGAATCCCCGAGGCTCAGTAATTTCTAAAGAAAAGAGGTTTAGGGGACGGGTGCGGTGGCTCACGCCTGTAATCCCAGCACTTTGGGAGGCCAAGGCACGCAGATCACCTGAGGTCAGGAGTTCGAGACCAGCCTGGCCCACATAGTGAAACCCCGTCTCTACTAAAAATACAAAAATCAGCTGAGTGTGGTGGCGGGCACCACACTTGGGAGGCTAAGGCAGGAGAATCGCTTGAACCCAGGAGGCGGAGGTTGCAGTGAGCTGAGATTATGCCACTGCACTCCAGCCTGGGGAACAGAGGGAGACTCCATCTCAAAAAAAAAAAAAAAAGGTTTATTTGGCTCATGGCTCTACAGGCTGCACAAGAAGCATGGTGCCAGGATCTGCCTCTTGGGAGGGTCTCGAGAACCTTTTCTCATGGCAGAGGGCAAAGAGCGAGCAGGCATGTCACATGGTGAGAGAGAGAGCAAGACAGAGAGGCGAGGGAGGTCACAGACATTTTAACAACCAGACCTCGTGTGAACTATAGAGTGATAACTCATTCATTACCTCCAGTCTTATGGTCACATATGACTGTAGTGGAGTAAGTGCCTGGGAAATATAGGTTTTCTGTTTATTCTGAAAAGAATGAAAAAGTTTACTGAACACATAATATTATTTCTGCCACCAGAGATATTTTGGAGATAGAATTGATGGGAATTTTTGATGGGTTGTACATGTATGTGTGCTGGTGTGTTTTATAAAAAACTAGGAGATCTTGAGGTGAAATAAGTATTAAGTAAAACTGAAGGCATTTTCTGGATTGTTAAAATATTGGCAGCTCAGTGGTTTCAATATCTCAATGAGTTGTCATAGGAATACTTGAATGAGTCTATTCAATGGCACAGGAAAATGTGAGAATACAACAAAGTTTCGAAATCAAAATTTCAGAGTTAAGACAGGTTCTAGAAGTAGGCAGAAGCCTAATTATGATGCATTAGAAATAATAATTAGTAATCATACAATGTTAGTGACAGTAGCTATGCCGTTCAAAAGCTTAACGGAGAAAGGAGAATATTAGCATAGTAGGTAAAGGGAGGCAAAAACCTAGGTCACTATAGGCCTGGCGCGGTGGCTCACACCTGTAATCCCAGCACTTTGGGAGGCCGAGGGGGGCGGATCACAAGGTCAGGAGATCGAGACCATTCTGGCTAACATGGTGAAACCCCGTCTCTACTAAAAATTCCAAAAATTAGCCAGACGTGGTGGCGGGCGCCTGTAGTCCCAGCCACTCGAGAGGCTGAGGCAGGAGAATGGCGTGAACCCGGGAGGCGGAGCCTGCAGTGAGCTGAGATCGCGCCACTGCACTCCAGCCTGGGCGACAGAGCGAGACTCCGTCTCAAAAAAAAAAAAAATATATATATATATATACACATATATATATACATATATATATACACATATATATATACACATATATATACACATATATATACATATATATACACATATATACATACATATATACACATATATATACATATATACACATATATATATACATATATATACACATACATATATACATATATATACATATATACATATATATACATATATATACATATATACATATATATACATATATATACATATATACACATATATACATATATACATATATACATACATATATACATATATACACATACATATATACATATATATACGTACATATATATACATATATATACACATACATATATATACATACATACATATATATATATATATATATATATATATATATATATATATATGTGAGTGGTAGACACAAGAGAGTCCATCTCAAGAACTGTGATGGATTGGGTTTTCTTAAAATCTGGACATACTAGATGTCTTCCAGACAAATGGAGCTCGGAGGAAATACAAATACAATAAACACACATATAGGAATCTCATAGTTTGTCTCAAATATTTTTTTTCTAATTTTAACCCCATTAGATAACAAATAAGAACAGATTCAGGAAGGCAGACAGTGATGGGGAAGGGGAAAGGGTAAATATGATGTGGATACCACAGCTAAGAAATTAGACGCACATTCAATTTTTTCCATCTTCATTTTGTGTGCTTCTATTCATAAACATAAGAATAATACTAATGATATTAATGAAAATGATGATGATGATAATAAAAGTCATCCCTACGTAATACTTTCTGTGTGCAAGGCACTGTCCTGAGAGGTTTTGATTGTAGTTTGTCATTTAAATTTTACGACACCATGAGTTAATTACTATTATTACCCTCATTTTACAGGGAGAAAACTGCATTGCTAAATCTATGTAAACAATATAATTGTTTTATCTCAAGTAAAATAAAATGGGATATTGACAAAAGCAATCTTAGGATCTTGAGCAAATATTTTTAAAATGATAAAATGATAGTGTATTTAAATAAATAGTTCAAATATAGTGAAATTAAAAAGTGTGTCCTGATTTCTTCTTATATTGAATGTCATGGAAGCATTAATAGTCATTTGAAATCACACTTGATAAAGACCCTGAATGTCAAAATACAGCACCTCTAAGCTCCCAAAGAAAACTTATTTAACCTTCTATACCAATGCCAAAAGTTTCTGTAGCACTGACATTGGCAAACCTTTCCTGTGAATTTATAACATCATAGAGTCTTAGAACCTGAGATCATTTGACTTTATAAGGCTTTAAAGGTTAAAGGCATAGAATAATTTAAGTATTAAAAAGAGGAAAGGAGTGTTTTCTGAAGCAAAGAAATTACTCTAGTTATTCAAAGTCTTCCTTTTCCTCAGGGCAGCCAGAATAATTGGATTTACATGTATCTGAATCACTGGCAGGGGGCAGAGGGGAACCAATGTCACTTTTTATATTCATCCTAAAATATTTGTTTCATTTTTATTATGTTATTTAAAAATAAATTTCTTAACAGAACTAAATACTGAATATGTAAACTAAGATCTCAGGCAAACTATTTGACCACAATGTAAAGGAAACTATATAAACTTACTTGTAATGTCAATTAAAGTTAACTTAAACTGGATTATCACTTAGGCAATTGACTATGATACTTACTTAAATTATTCTATTTAACTCACGCCTTTATAAAATTAATATTACCATTTAACAAGATAAATACCATGTCTAACCAAATTCTGAATTTTATTTTGATTTATTTTTTTCCTTGTATTAGCTGCTAACTCGTGAATACCACTCTACTTATAACAAGATATAAAAGGCATTGGGTAAATAATTATATAATTATGATGAAACACTCATAGAATTAACTTGACAGTGTTTTTATATATTAATATCAAAATGCAGAGATATACATTCATATTTCTTAGTTGATTCCTATAAAGTAAATTTTTGTATAAGATTTGAACTTGGCTTAACATATTGTGGATTGTTGGTGAGATTAAAAAGATGAAAAAATACTGACTTTTACATCATGGATATATCCTAGTATAAAGTGGCAGTATATCTCAGTGGGGATTGTCAGCAATCAAATTTTGTAGAATACTAGTTGGCACTAATTCTTAAAAGGAGAAAGATAGGTTGAATTGGTAAAAACTAACAAAAAAAGATCATTGAACTGATAAAAATAAAAGGAGAAAACTCTTAAAGCACTGCAGATACTATCAATTCGCAGCAAAAGGCAAGATGTCTACAAGGACCCCTAGGGAGTAGCATGAATGTGTGTGCTCACATTCTGAAAAGACCATCTTCCTAACCACTGATAGAATGTTTGGGGATACTGCAATTCGAATTAGGGAACAGCCTGTTTAGTTGGTGATTAGCTGAATGGTGTGTCAGAAATGGGTCTAGGAATAAAAGTAGGTCTGGAAACAATTGGTCACTTCACAGGGAAACATGTTGTGTAATACACTCATATGCTGCTTCTAAAGAAATGAATCAGAAAAGGCTACATAGTTCCCTGCTCAACTGATCATGTTTGGTCAAGTGGAGATTAAAAGCTAAGTAACAAATTGGTAAAATATCTCTATCTCCCTGTTACTCCGAAAACTCCAGAGAGATCATGGCCATTCACAGAGGCATCTCTTGCACTGTTAGACCTCACTAAAACTCTCTAAGTCACACCATTCAAGTGATTTTATCTGACACTTTATGATTTATTAAATGTATTTCACTGGATGTGGAGGGTTAATTAACTGAGACTGTGTATTCAAAATCACCTCGTGTATCATATATCGATACATGTCTTCACAGGAATATTTCCAATTAGGTTCAAAATTTAAAATCCTCAAATAATTAAATATGTACTATAAATGTTCAAAAACAAAAGGAAAATATTGAGAACTGAATATAAAGCAGGAAAGCTACAGCAGAAGCCTTCCCAAATATCATTTAATATTTACTGACTAGGCAATACACATTTCTTAATATCTCTTATGCAGAAAAGAATTGAAGTTTTTTAATAAAATATTATTTGAAATAATAATATACCTGCAAGAGGATATTGACAGACTTTTTCTAAAGCAGAAAAAAAAAACCCCACAAAAACCTGTGTTTATAATTAATGCTGCTGGATGCTCGTTGTTATGGGTTAAGTCATGACCTCCCCAAATTCATAATTTGAATCCCTAACCCCCAGTACCTCAGAAGGTGACTGCATTTGGAGACAGGGCTTTAAAGGGGGTAATTAAGTTAAAATGAAGCCTTTAGGGTGGGCCCTAATCCAATCTGGTGTCTTTCTAAGAAGAGGGCATTTCGACACACAGAGAGAGGTACATTCACACAGGGGAAAAGCCATGTAAGGACACAACAAGAAGGGATCCCCACTGTTGGGCATGGAGGCTCACGTCTGTAATCCCAGCACTTTAGGAGGCCGAGGCTGGCGGATCACGAGGTCAGGAGTTTGAGACCAGCCTGGCCAACATGGTGAAATCCTGTCTCTATTAAAAATACAAAAATTAGCCAAGCATGGTGGCATGTGCCTGTAATCCCAGCTACTCAGGAGGCTGAGGCAGGAGAATCACTTGAACCTAGGAGACTGAGGCTGCAGTGAGCCAAGATCATGCCACTGCACTCCAGCCTGGGCGACAGAGCGAGACTCTGTCTCAAAAAAAGAAAAAAAAGAAAAGAAAAGAAAAAAAAAAAGGGGGGATCCTCAAGTGACAGAGGCTTCAGGAGAAACCAAACCTGCTGACTCCTTGATCTTGGATTTCTAAACTTCAGAACTGTCAGAAAATAAATTTCTTGTTGTCGAAGGCACCTAGTCTGGGATACTTTGTTACATCAACCCTAGCAGATTAACACACCCATATACAGTTGATTCATGTTATTCATGGGAATTACGTTTTATAACGTTGCTACAAACACTGTATTAGCAGTAGTTGAACCACTGCTTTGAGGAAAAATAAAGGGGTAGGTTTCCTGCAAGCATTTGATTACTGATTTTCATCAATTGATCAATAAATAACATTGCTTTATGTTTGTTTCTGTTTAAAGACAACTTTCTGAATATATGTTGTCGATTCATTAACGTTCAATTGACAGCCAACAGCACTGTAACACACCCCTAACAAAGCTTATATATCACACATGTTTCCATCAGTCACGTTGCAGCCAGTTCTGGAGATTAGGAGTAGGAGACAGCCCTTCAGCACTACGCTTGGGGGAAGTTTTAACATTGAAATAGTCAACATTAAGCACAGAAGTGTGAGAAATACAGCACTAGACAGATCGTGAAAAGGACAGTTGTGTAGAGTATAAGAGCTGAAACAAGAAGACAGAAAGTCACTTTGTTCATTGGCAACGTGCATCTTGAGTGACTCAAACTTTTTGTCACTTTGTACGTCCGTGAATTGCTGCTAAAGCACCAAAAATATTGATTTGGGGGTTACAAATAAATTTTATAGATAAGCAAATTTGCAAATGTGGAATTCATGAATAATGAGGGTGAACTGTACTGAGAATTTTTTTCCTTAAATGCACCCTTGCAGTCTCACACCTATTTCCCATGTCACATAATTTTAACTTCAGAGCCCACCTTCCTCGTTATGTCTCCAGGATAAGTAAGCCTGCTGAATACTTCTGTATTCAGTTAGGTATTTCTTATACGTGGATAAATTACAGGCACAAAATCAGGTTATCCGGTTCAATTTATTGTTCTCTTTTTCTTTTCTTTTTTTTTTTTTTTTTTTTTTTGACGGAGTCTAGTACCTCTGTCGCTCAAGCTGGAGCGCAGTGGCGCCATCTCTGCTCGCTGCAACCTCCGCCTCCCAGGTTCAAGCATTTCTCCTATCTCAGCTTCCTGAGTAGCTGGGATTACAGGCGCACACCACCACGCCCGGCTAATTTTTGTATTTTTAGTAGAGATGGGGTTTCACCAGTTGGTCAGACTGGTCTCGAACTCCTGACCTCGTGATCCGCCCGCCTCGGCCTTCCAAAGTGCTGGGATTACAGGCGTGAGCCACCATGCCCGGCCTCAATTTATTGTTCTTTTACATTGTTTGTGGCCCTGACTCCTACAGGAGAATAGCTGAGGGTTTTACACTCACTCTCGGCCTCTGTTCAGGCCTGTGCTGTGGATTCTTAGACTCACCTTAGGAGTTCAATCAAAGAAACTTCTTCTGGAACATTGAAAATATATGACATATATTACTTGCTTCTGTTTCTTCTGGATTCCACAACACCTCCTTGCCAAGAAAGGAGCAAATTATAGAATAATCAATAGATCACAACATAGACAATAGGTATTAGCTGTTAAGACAGCAGACATAAAGATATCACTCTAACTTACATTGTGTTTGAATTTATTATTTCAGTGTTGTTATTGTTCATAGTGCAACTGTTTTCTAATACTCTTCTATTGATCTTTTATTTCTATGTTTTATAGCAAATGTTATTCAACAAAGCCATTTAGTTATTGTATACAGATTCTAGTTCTTCTAAGTAAAACAATATATATTTAATCTCTTTTTTTCCTTTTCATTATTTGTGAAAGGTTTCATACTACAGTCATCAGGGTGGTTTAATCTCTCCTACAGGTAACGTATTTTAATCATGACCAGCTCCCTTTTGAACCATTGGTATATCTCTGTCTGCCTTCTGTTTTCTTGAAGTCTTTGAAGTGGAAAAACCTATTCAAAAATAACTTATTTTTGAGAAATTAAATGTGAAATTCAAAGAATATAACCTCTGCTTACATGAATAACAGCAACCAAACAAAAAACAAAAGCCCTTTGAGTTTACCAAGTTCTCATTTAAATACCAAATCACTCTACCTTCAAATAAAAACATAGCTCCTTCTGCTTAAGAAGGGATTCTGATTCACAATTTTCTTATACTTTAGAAAATAACTATAAAGGAATATACTTGAATTGGATATATTATTATGGCACAATATAAATATATTCATATATAAATACAATATGAATATTAAACATTTTGAAGATAAATATTAAAATATGTGTATGTATTTTAGAATTAATAAAATGTCACCAAATATAAAATCAATTAATTTTCACAATCAATTTTAAAATACCCAGTGGAAATTATGGAGGGAAATAGAAGTGGTAACTACAATAATTATTTCAATAAGCGAATTGTGTACATTGTTTGTTTCTAAGTTTATGTGGATACTCCTTTTATATTTTTAATTTGATTGCTTCACTTTTTCTAATGAAGCCAGACAAATTACACAGGTTTCTTTCTGTAAAAAGAGGCACTCAGTAATAAATAGGGACAATTTGATTGTCACTGCATAAAATCTTCTTTCCCTGTAGCAGGTTTCTGACTCTTGGTCTACTTGCAGGGGGCTTTACCCCTCTTCCCCTCTCACCCTTTCTTTACACATGGAAGCAGGCCACTCAGCTCTGCCTACAATGCTCTTTAACCACTGACTGTGACATCTATCATCTAGGATATGATCCCAATGAAATAAAGCTATTATCAGAAAGAGAGAAAATTAAGGCTTGACTGGAGCCTACATAATGGCTGAGGCCAAAGAACAAAAAACAAGGCATTTGAGATCCACAAACAGGCCTACCCAACGACGGAACAACACAAGTGTGCATTCCTTGTCTCTGTCTCATGGCATCATCATTCCCCCAACTCTGTTCTTAATAATAGATCTCCATGGAAATGCAGTCAGACATATTTCTGTTTCTGAAGGGTCTGCTTTGTCTTACGTTTTTGATGAAAGCCCATAGAAATAGGGATATCTGCTCAATAAATTACAATCTGGTCTTTGACCAATCATTGTCACTGACTTTCATTTAATCTAATTGGATCAGTGAGTATTGTAACTATTTTCAACAGGCCTAACTAGGGCCAAATGTAAAAAACAAAAACAAGCAACAACAACAAGAACAACAACAACAACAAAAAAAAAAACAAGGCGTTCTTAATCTATGGTAAATACAGCTTTAACTTTTAAGAAACAGAGAAAATATCCTAACAAATTTAAGATTCTTGAAATCAATTTCTACATTTAACCCTCGATATTAATATATTTAGTTGCTTTTTACACTGTAGAAAAAGATAAATAGATTTTATATCAAATATTTAGTAGAGATATAAAAAATGTTTTTTTGCCTTTGTCTGAAATCAAGTCTACATAGTGGCTTTAAAAGTTTATATTTTACATTTGGTCTTGATTTTTTAACAGGTTAAATGTAGCATGTGATTTGATATGGGGAAAGGTTTAGCCTGGTTAATAAAAAAGGAAATGAAATGCTGAGATTATACTTGTAGGGAAAAAGATTTGTCTGGAAAATGGTTTGCAGAGTATTGGGATATCACCTTGAATTAAGAATGGAGGGGCCGGGCACGGTGGCTTACGCCTGCAATCCCAGCACTTTGGGAGGCCGAGGCAGGTGGATCACTTGACATCAGGAGTTTGAGACCAGCCTGACCAACATGGTGAAACCCTGACTCTACTAAAAATACAAAATTAGCCGGGCATGGAGGTGCATGCCTGTAATCCCAGCTACTTGGGAGGCTGAGGCAGGAGGATTGCTTGAATCAGGAGGCAGAGGTTGCAGTGGGCCAAGATCACACTATTGTACTCCAGCTTGGGCAACAAGAGCAAAACTCCTCTCCAAAAAAAAAAAAAAAAAAAAGATTGGAGGGTGAGTGATGGTAGATAAACAGGTTACGTGAAGGCTACTCTTGCCAGATTAGGATAAATATGCAGATGCATGGCCTCAAATTTTCATTAAATTGAATATTTATTTCTCTTCACTTTCAATTTTGTTATTTGAGATGCATATTGGGCTATCTTTTCAAATAGTTACCCCTTACTACCTATTATATAGGTCAATATTTCAAATAATAAGTATGCTAAATTCTGTTGTGATACTTGAGTATGTTAGTTAAAATAACATATATTTCTAGCCAGAGCAATCAGACAAGTGAAAGAAATAAAAGGCATCCAAACAGGAAAGGAGGAAATCAAATTACCTTTCTTTGATGGCAATGTGTTTCTATACCTAGAACACACTTAAAATGCTGTCAAAAGACTCCTAGACCTGATAAAAGACTTCAGAAAAGTATCAGGATACAAAATCAAAGTACAAAGATCAGTAGCATTTCTATACCCCAATAACATTCAGTCTGAGAACCAAATCAAGAACGCAATCTCATTTACAATAGCCGCAGAAAATAAAAAATAAAATGCATAGGAATACATCTAACCAAAAAGACAAAAGATTTCTGAGGAAAAAAAAAAAAGAAAAGCAATTCCATCTTCATGTTGTGAAAGAATCAATATAATTAAAATGTTTATACTCTCTAAAGCAATCTACAGATTCAATGTTATTCCCATAAATTACCAACATCATTTTTCACAGAATTAGAAAAAACTATTCTAACATTCATATGGAACCCCCCAAAAAGCTCATATAACCAAGGCAATCCCAAGCAAAAAGAATAAATCCAGAGGCATCACATTACCTGACTTCAAATTATACTGCAAAGCTACAGTAACCAAAACATCATAGTACTGGTACAAAAATAGAGACATATACCAATGGAACAGAAAAGAGACCATTGAAATAAAGCTGAACACCTACAACAAACTGATTTTTGCCAAAGTCAACAAAAATAAGCAATGGAGAAAGATATCCTGTTTAATCAATGGTGCTGGGATAACAGACTAACCATATGGAGAAGAATAAAATTAGACCCCTACCTGTCACCACATGCAAAAATGTACTCAAGATGATTAAAGACTTAAATGTAAGATCTCAAACTATAAAAATCCTAGAAAAAAAACCTAGGAAATCCTCTTCCAGTCATTGGCCAAGGCAAAGAAGTTATGATGAAGACTCCCAAAGCAAATGCAGCAAAATCAATGTAGAAAAATGAGACCCAATTAAATTAAGGAGCTTCTGCATGGGAAAAGAAACTATCAACAGAGTAAAGTGTCTACCTCAAGAATGGGAGAAATTATTTGCAAACTATGCATCCAAATATATTTTCAAACTATGCATCTTGATATGTTTAGTTCCTTATAAAATATTATAAGGAATATTTTAACATGATGTTATAAGGAACTTAAACAGATCAACAAGAAAATGATCAAATAACCTCATTAAAAAGTGAGAAAAGGACAGGAACATATACTTCTCCAAAGGAGACATATGAGTAGTCAAAAACCATGAAAAAAATGTTCAACATCACTAATCATCAGAGAGATCCAAATCAAAACCACAATGAGATACCATCTCTCATCAGTCAGAATGGCTATTATTGACAAGTCAAAAAATCACAGATATTGATGAGGTTGTGGAGAAAAGTGAACTCATATACAGCTGATGGAAATTTAAATGTGTTCAGTCCCCGCAGAAAACAAGTAGTTTGGAGATTTCTTAAAGGCTAATAACACAATTACCATTCAACCCAGCAATTCCGTTACTGGGTATATACCCAAAGGAAAAGAAATTGCCTTTTGAAAAATACACCTGCACTCATATGTTTATCACAGCACTATTCACAGTAGCAAAGACATGGAATCAACCAAGGCACCTACAGAGAGAGGACTGAATAAAGAAAATGTGGTACTTATACACCATGGAATATTACACAACTATAAAAAAAGAACAAAATCATGTCCTTTGCAGCAACACGGATGCATCTGGAGGCCATTATCGTAAGCGAATTAATGCAGGAACAGGAAACCAAATAACTGCATGTTCTCAGTTATAAGTGGGAGCTAAACACTGGGCATGCATGGACACAAAAATGGTAATTGAGAGGGGCAAGGGATGAAAAACTACCTACTGGGTTTCATGTTTGCTACTTGGGTCAAGGGATCATTAGAAGCCCACGGGATCACACAATATATCCACACAACAAGCATGCACATGTACTCCCTGAAACTAAGTTTAAAAATCAAATTTAAACATAGAAAAAATAGGCTGAGCACAGTGGCTCGTGCCTGTAATCCCAGCACTTTGGGAGGCCAAGGCAGGCAGATCACTTGAGGCCAGGAGTTCAAGACCAGCCTGGCCAACATAGTGAAACCCTCTCTCTACTAAAAATACCAAAAATCAGCTGGGTGTGGTGGCAGGTGCCTGTAATCCCAGCTACTCGGAAGGCTGAGGCATGAGAATAAATTGAACCAGGGAGGTGGAGTTTGCAGTGAGCCAAGATCGTGCCACTGCACTCCAGCCTGGGGAATAGAGTGAGACCCTCTCTCCAAAAATAAAAATAGAAATAGAAAACAAAATATGTCTTATAATAGAAACACATCCAGTCAAAATACTGTTTTTCTACCAACATTAAATACAGTTAAATTATGCAGCAGCTATATAATCTTGGTTCCATCCAGGAGACTGATTTACATGGTTTCTTGGGCTTCCAAAAACTGGAAGATTTTTCAAGTTTTCTAAATTATTCTCAAAAATATTTTTCACAATCAATATTTTGGTTATTGTTAAGTAACAATATGTTCAGGATTGCACACTGTAATTATTAGTAATGCAGATAGTCTACACGGCCAGTCAAGACTGCTATAATGAATCCTGGTAATTAGGATGACAGTACCTTATCAAAGTGTCAAAGCCCAATGAACATGTTTGCCTAAATACAAGACTACACACAACTCCCACATGTATAACATCTAAATGTTAAAATTGCCAGATAGGGTACACTAGTACATGCCTCTTTTATGTATCCAGCAGTCTAATTAGTGATGTCTTCTTTGAAGTGTCACATTGAAATAGTGACATCAAACTCAACATGTCCCCAAAGTAAATCTTGATTTCTCTCCTCAGCTATCTCTTCAAATCCTGCTCCCTTCCAGTAAATTATAGCACTATACATTCTGTTGCTTCATCAGGGATTCAATGTGTATTCACATTTTTTCTCTGTTGCTTACACCGACATGTTCAGTAAGTCATATTTTTTACATCCTCAATGTATCTCAAAAGTATCCAGTTCTCTACACTTCATGGTCGTCATCTTGGCTATAACCATTGTTATTTTTCACTGGACTAATTTCAAGAATGTCGGCTTTCAACAGGTATTCTAAAAACATATATGTAATGAGTAAGCAAATATTTTATAAGGCTTCACATGATTTGGCCATTAGACAACCTCATCATATGTTTCTTTTTGTCCACTCTACTTCAGTCACACTGGGATTCTTTCACTTGCTAGAAAGGTTTCCAATCTTGGGATTATCCAAAGGGTTACTTCTACTTGGAATGTTCTTCTCACAGTTCTTGGTAGAGGTGACTTCTTTCCATCCTTCAGTGGTGGCCTAAAGGTAACTTTCTCAGATTCCCCAAGCTGACCAACTTTAGAGTTTGGTTCCTCTTCTTTGTTATTCTAAATAACTAATATATTTTATTTTCTTCATCTTGTTCATCACAAGTGTAACTCGTATTAATTTGTTATTCACCTATCATCCCCTCTCTTCTCTAATATATACTTCCTGTGGATAATGTAAAAGTATTTTATTTACCGACAAATACTCATAATCTAGCATAGTTCCAGACATGTAAGAATTTATTAAATGATATTCTAACAAATAACAAGTTATGAGATAAGATGCCCTGTGGTCACGTTCAAGATTTTCCTCAGTAAACAGTTTGAGATCTGCCTTATCTGATGTTTGAATGGATAAGTCTAGGCAAAAGGTCATGGTTGTACCATTTTTTAAATCTAAACAATTTTAAAGCAGTTTTCAGCAAATATTGACTTCAGGCATATAAAAAATAGCATAACTGGTGAACTTTTCAACATAAATTGAGTGGAGATTAAGTTGTATCTTTAGATACCTGAATATACTGGGTGGTTCTACTGAGTTTTTAGCCAGAAACCAGTTCTATCTTTTGAGAAATTGTGTTTTTCTCCAGAAGAATTTATCTAAGGCTTTTCTTTTCAGCAAGATTTGGATGACAATATCTGCCATTTCTTAAAGTTAGTGAGATTCCGTAGACTGTCCATTTTTAGACAGTGGGCTATGAATTCAGACATATTTAGGTTTCAACTTCATTTCTATATTTATAAATACCTATGAAAGTTTGGACAATTTGTTAAATATTTTTCAGTTTAAAATGAAGAAAAAACTTACTTATTCTGTAAAATTAGGTAACATTACTTATAAGATTTTCATTATCATTTCTAACTTATTATAAACTCATGTCACCTACATATACGACAAATCTTATCTTTTGCTTCTTTACAATAAGATCCAGGCAGATGAGGGCTAGACAGTGGGTCAGCTGGGCATGTTCCTGGAATGCCAATTTACAGATGGTACTAATGTTTCTTTGGAATGCTAAATGTTATGTGCGGGAAATGTAGAAAATCCTGTTTATCAGAACACATCTCAGAGCTGCTTCTTATGTGTCAGGCAATGCTAGAGACTTTTTCATGAACTCCATTGCTTAGTTTCCTCTGCACAATATATGGAAATGGGAGGAAAGCTTTGTTCTAAAAGCTTGGGCATGTTGGGACCCTACTAAATAAGATGGTGTGACCAGCAAAGACCAGCCAAGACATTGCTGTGTGGGACATGCAACTTTAGGGCAAATGTGGAACTCTTAGGGACAACACATTATAGGAGAGTACAGACACCTGTTCTCCTATTCTACCCTGCCCTCTGCATTGCTTGGTCTTTGTTTTACATAAATGTTGGATAAATATTTAAGTAATAATGTTTTCAGGGATGCCAGATTATTAATCTTTCCAATATATTTCATTAATTGGTCAAGTTTTAGGTGTATGTGATGAATTCATTTAATACTGTTAACAAATTATTGAAAATAAACTTTTAAAAATCTTTGTATCATACCAGATTATATCAATTTCACCAACTGAAAATTATTAGAAAGTTTACCAACAGAGCATGTATACCAACTTTTGCTTTCAGAGTAATGATATAATGCAGGTCATTCATAAACCCCAATGGCAACAAAATGGCGAGTGTGGAATAGAGTTTGCTAAGCTTAGTTTACAATTGATTCCTATCTATTAAGGATTCTACAAAAGACAGAAACATCTTCATTTTAGGTTTTTTCACCTAGATTTGAAGAATGCAACAATTGTCAGAGTAGAGAATGTATGCTCTTCATGAAAAATATTGTTCTGCAAATCTCCAATTAGCAATGCAGCAAAAAGAAAATCCAAAACTTGAGAAGGAATATATATTAAGACTACAGATTTATGATTTCAGAAAGCAAAATATTTTATAACCATTTTATCCTAAAATAATTTGCTAATATATATTTTCCTCTAAAGGATTCTCAAAAGACTTGTGTCAATGGTTGTCAAATGTATTCATCAAAGTTATTGCAGAATATATTTGCTTTATAAAATTTAAAAATCATTAATAAAATACTGTTTTCTTTTCAGTGTTTGAAATATTTATCTATGACAAATACCATTCAGTGAATTTAAATAATACTAGATATAAAACTCTGTATTTAATGCAATAGTGAAAAAGAAGTAGATTGTGCTATATAAATTTACATAAAGCTTACATTGAAAGAATTTTTAAAAAACTTTCCTAAATTTAAAATATTTACTATATTATAAATAAATAATAAAAAACAACAGCATCTTATTGTTTTGTTTGTTTGTGTTTTATTACTAAGACACAAAGTTTGAATGTAAATCAAATAATACAATGATTATATAATAATATCAACTTTTTGGGGCTTAATCTGCATTAGTCAATGTGATAAGCTTTTTTAGTATACCTTATATATAAGAGAATATGCACAAAAAATAGAAAGGTAGAAACTATCATTCTTCTTTGATAAATAAGAAAACAGAATCTTAGTATAAATAGCTTAACCATGGAAATACAGCTAGAAAATGGTCAAGGTGAACTATGAACTACTGTCAGGTTTTCCCCAGAGCCTATCTTCAAATCAGTTGGCTATATCATACTGTAAATTTATTACTCATGAAGCCACTGTAGCAAAGAGGAATGCTTATAGAAAATATTCATGTAAATGTATATAATATATAGAAAACACATTTCATTCAATAATACTGTATCAGTTTTCACACTGCTACAAATAAGCTACCTGAGACAGTGTAAATTATAAAGGAAAGAGGTTTAGTGGACTCACAGTTCCACATAGCTGGGGAGGTCTCAGGAAACTTACAATCATGGTGGAAGGGGAAGAGGAAGCAAGGCACATCTTACATGGTCGCAGGAGAGAGACAAGGTGCAGAGGAAACGGCCATTTTTACACCATCTGCTCTCGTGAGAACTTCCTCTCTATCATGAGAACAGTGTGAGGTAAACTGCCCCATGATCCAACCACCTCCCACCAGGTTCCTCCCTTGTCACGGGGGGATTTCTATTAGAGATGAGATTTTGGTGGAGACACAGAGCCAAACCATATCAAATATATTATATGAAAAAAAATCCAGTATAATATATGCATACATATGTAAATTTTATATTCCCTTTTATTCATATGTATTTAATCTTTATTTTGCAATGCCTTCATTTATTTCATCATATGTTTTAAGCACTTCTAAAATTGCAGCCTCTCTGCTAGTTATTGTTCTTTTGGTTCACAGCATAAAGAGCAGGAAGACGTTCTATAAACTCAGAAAATAGTTTTTAAACATTTGCTTGACTAAACTTGTGAATCTGTTTTTTAGTAAATACACTAAAACATTAAACTCTTTTTGGTTGCTTTTGTTACAAAGCTGTCTTAGCACATAAGTTTCGGGGAAAACGTTCATAAAAGTTTTGCTATGCATACTGTTAAACCATTTGTTTATTTTTTGCTGCTTCTTGTTTGTTTTAATTTACAAGTAACCATCTTAGCAAACTAGAGCAAGCTTACAAGATATGCATTATAAATTAAAGTCATCTGTTTAAATCTCCAAATATTTCGATCAAGGCAATATTCATTCTTGACATAAGAAGATAGAACCAAATTGTCTTCCTGTTGTCATCATGAATGCTGCTTTAAAAATGAGGAGTGTATCCTTTAAAATGCATACAAGTCTGACCTCAAAATTATAAACTGTTAACTTCAAGAGCTGCGTGGAATAACCTCTTCAAAATGCTCTGAATTTCTGGGCATCATATAGAAAACCAGTCCACAAAAATGGCATATGTAGGGGTGGGAGGAAAAGGGGTTCATAAGGTCATGCTGCCAAAACTTTTGCCACAATGAAAAGAGGCAAAAGCTACGTTAAATAACCTTACATATCCTTAGCACAATAAGGTCAGAAAGTCTTACTTTTGAACACATGATGCAGGAAATGCTCCATTTTCATTACAGTTCATTTGTATTGATTCAACACTGCATTACCTTTGAGAGTTTGGGTACACTGTATTGAATTCATGGAATTATAGAAATTAGAATTATAAAAGGCCAATTGGCCCATCTTGGTCTACGTATTAGTGAAAGATTATTTGGTGTAACATATTCTTTAGTGTTTAGCGAAATTTTAAATGAGTTAAGCAATCGTGCTTTTGGGAAATGATCTCAATCATAAGACAGCTTAGGGCTTATATTTTTCATTATCTTTAGAAAATGCATGTTTAACCATATTCTAGCCATTGAGATTTTTAAAGTATGAGTCAGTTTTTCCCAGTGTTTGAGCAGTTTCCCATATGGAACATGGCAATGCTACAACATATTTATTGCTAACTACTTTTGACAAAGGAAGAAATATTGCCAAGTGACCAGGGTATGTGCATTTTAAATCTGTTCTAATTTAATTCTGGGAAAGATGGTTCAGTTTAAGAAAATGTGGAATATGATATAGAGAAAACTATTGTGAGCAAATGTGAATTATCTTTAGTCACGGCAAGACCTTTCAAAGGTCTAACCTCAGAAAGGCTTTCCATGGTGACTTCCTCTGCATCATTTCTATCTTTGTATATTAAAAAAAAAGTCACCACAGAATTTTCAAAATACTTCACCGCAATCACCATAGGTTAATTTTCTACAAATGATACATTCAAAAGCATTTTCTTCAGTAAGATGAAAGTTGAATAAATCCCCTGATTCGTCATGAAACTCTAAGTCAGTCCATGTTGATGAATATTCTGTTACAAACTATTGTGTCTGTTTCCTAGATTTAGCATGAAATCTGAAACAGGGAAAATGAGAATTGCTCTCAAATCCAGCTGCAATCAATCATCTTGAAATATACTCTGGTTCCTATGAGTGACACAACATAATAATTAAAGTCCTCTTCTGTTAGAAAAAACAATTTTTGATAGAAATAGACTTTTTTAACTTTTAGTTTTAAATTGTTCCTAATGAATTTCCATAAGTGTAATTATGCTTAATTAGGCTTATTTAACTCTTTATTCTTTTTTTGTTTGTTTGTTTTTTGTATGTTTGTTTTAAGATGGAGTCTCACTCTGTTGCCCAGGCTGGAGTATAGTGGTGCAATCTCGGCTCCCTGCAACCTCCACCTCCCAGATTCAAGTGATTCTCCTGCTTCAGCCTCCCAAGTAGCTAGGACTACAGGCATGCGCCACCATGCCCAGTTAATTTTTGTATTTTTAGTAGAGACGGGGTTTCAGCATGTTGGCCAGGATGGTCTCTGTCTCTTGACCTTGTGATCCACCTGCCTGGACCTCCCAAAGTGCTGGGAATACAGGCGTTGAGCCACCATGCCCGGCCAACTCTTGATTTTTCTTGCAGAAATGAAATGTTTTCAGTAATAAGAAATTTTTTTTTCCATTTTTATTTCCCCTTGCTCACACATTTTATTATATTTATATCACATACTAGAGGTTTTGACAGAGTTGTGTGCTTGGGGACTCTCTTCTTAATGTACCCTCCCTTCTCATAGATATTCATCTATTAGATTCAAAGTAACCTTCATGCAGTTTAACAATCAATTTGAATATGTTCATTTCAAACTAAATTAATTTTTACAGATGCATTTTATTTAATATCCTCATTCTCATGGTCACTCTGGCCAAAAATTCAGAATCATCTCTGTTACTAATCCATTACCCTCTTACATTCAGGAAACTCAACTTTTTATTCACTCTTTTCCAATGAGTCCATCTCAAAATCATTTACTTTAGTAACAGTTTCCCTTTTTATATCATCTGATTTTTTATTGCAAAATTATTTTTCCCGAAGGTACCTGGATGAAATGTAGAAAAAAAAATAACCTCTTGCTTTGGTTCACAATAGGATCACTTTCGTATCTCAGATGCCCCTACAACCATTCATTGATTAACTCAGTAGTTACCTATTATAGCGTCTAATTACTTCTTTCAAATTTCAAAGATTAGCTATTCTAAGGAAATGAATCTTTTCATGAATTTTGGATAAAAATAGATTTTTGTAAAACATGGAAATTAGTGCACAGAGGAGTTGATGGGAAGTTTTAACAAGAGGTTCTGAATGGATCCTTTAATTCACAGATAGATCATGAAGGGACTGAGACATGAGAACAAGGAATCCGAGGAAAATGTGCTCTAAGAAGAAGAAAAAAAAAACCTGAAGAAGTTTCCAACAAGAAAAATGTTGTTTAATTCACATACGTGACTAAGGATGCTCATCAGTATTCTTTAAATATTTCATTAGATGTTGATTGAGCAGTTACTATATGCAAAGGATTATGCTAGCTATTGATAGAAGGTAATTTCCTTCTTTAATATTAAGTGAATGGGGCAGATAACATTCCTGCTGTATACCCAATGTTTTTTATGTAATAATAATTATTTCCTTCAAGTTGCTTGCAATCTATTCATAGACAGAAACAGTAACTACCAAGAACAAAACGTAATCCAAGAGTTTAAGGATGTAAGAAGACATCCCACAAAGTAGATTGTGATTAAGTCAGGAGTGATTCATACAGACTCTATATACCATTGAATGGTAGAAAGAATACTAAACTAGCCAGCTACCAAATTCTATGTCCTTGTGTCTATCATCTGTAAGGTCCTAATGATACATACATGGCACTGTAGTAAGGAATAAAGAAGCTTATTTTACAAAATAGCTTGTAACATGTTAAGAGCTACACAAATGTAGTGAACTTTTCTTTTAATCTCAAAAGATTATTGTTTAGAGCAGTGTTTCTCCATCAGAGATAATTCCATCCCCAAGAAATACTTGGCAAAGTCCGGAAACAATTTTCGTAAGTATAGAGGAGGGAAAAAACTTTTCCACTACTTTCTCAGGTTCTGACTCTGGGATCCTGTGAACTAAATTCAAAAGATAAATTAACAGGAGAAAAGTCATGTAAACTTTATTGATGTTTTATGTGCATGGAGCATTTCACAAAAATAAATATTTAAGCTGATAGGGTAAGCAGAGATTGAGGAAGAAAAGACTAGAAGTAGGAAAGTGACTAGAAGCAGGGTAAGCCCAAAGGGGCAGTAAAGAGGGATACATTGTGGGAAAGTGACTAGATAAAAGAAAGTGAGGTTTTGGTTCCCAGAGAGGTAACTTGGGGAATGATGACAAGAAAATGTATGGGGTAAACTAATGGTAGATAAGGCTTCTTTGTAAACCAGACACATCTTGGTACCATCTCTAGTGATAAGAGTCATTTTCCTCTCCTGGGCATGGGAGTGGGGGACCTTTACAAATAAAAGTATCCCTTTATAAAAAGGAAATTTGTGCTTTAATTTTCATCAGATAGAATGAAGGCAGATAGTTCTTACTGTGGTTTCTCAATTGCTGTTGTTTTTTAATTACCTTCAGCTCAAAATAATCCTTATGCCAAAGTGGCATTCCCTTCAGTTGTCGCACTTTGGGTGTGGAGGAGCTGCTGGCATCTAGTGGGTGGAGGCTAGAAATGCTATTAAACAGCCCACAATGCGCAGGATAGTCCTCTTTCCCCTACCATAGAATTATCCTGCTCAAAATAGCATTATGGCTGAGGTTGAGAAATCCTAGTTGTAAGGACGTACGAAATGATTCATGAGTGACATACAAAGTGCACTAAATTAAAGTGCATTGAATTAAAGAATGGTCATGAATCGGATACAGGGGAAGTATTCTTAGATGCAGAGAGTAAAACGAGTGATAGTGTCCTTCCTAACAGGAGGTTCATTACTCAGAAATGAATTGCGAAGGCAATAATAGAGCAATAAGATGAAGCAGATTTCTTCAAGCAAATGTAGGTCTTTAAGACCAGGCTATAACAGGATAATTCTTCTGTAGTTACTAGAAAAAATTTGAGACTAACAGAACTTTGGGAAATCTATGCTTCTAAGGTAAGCAGAAATTGAGGAAGAAAAGACTAGAAGCAGGGAAAATGACTTAAAAACTATTATAATAGATTCTATTTGTGTTAATGAAGACCAGGCAGATAAAACTGATTGGAAATGGCAGTTGAAAATGCAAAGAAATTCCAAGGGATTGTAGAAAGGGTAGACTGATGCCCATAGAAAAGGGGTATCACAGGTTTCCCTCAGAAATAAATATTTACTACTTCAGGCAATAGAATACCATAATCTATATGGATGGTCTGATCAATTTCATATATTGGGACTATTTGGCTGAAGAACTAAAACTCTCCTCACAGCTTTACATTTTAATAAGGTAGAAAATACATAATATTTGGAATATAATATACAGGATTGCATGGAAGCTCAGAGGAGTAAGTATATCTTACTCTCATGGATGGGTAAAGAACTGTTCTGAAATAAAATGAAATTAGAAACTGAATCTTGGATTAGCAAAAATGCCTCAATTCTGATCTCCTATAGCACCATGTCTAACATTTAGTTAACTTTTGCTCACCCCAGATAAACGTGGGTGCCCTCCCTGCCCCCATGGTAGGGTGCAGAATATTGAGGGTAGATGCAGTAATTTCTGCTTTGCCCCTTTGGCAGCTCAAACAGGAATACTCTTTATACATCACCTCCCAGGATCCAGGCAGAAACTGGAGTATAACGTTCTTGACACTCATATCCTCATCATTATCTGAAAATGATATTCTCTCCCGTCTGTAAAAATCCTCCAGCCCCACAGCCATCCTATTGCCCTGAACAACTTGCTTTCACTCCAAATCTGCATATCTCAATCCATGACTTGAAGGATTTGATCTTAGCCATGAAAAATATGATGTGAGAGGCAGGGAGAGAACAATTCTGCCATCTAATACGTACTTTCAAGTCTTCCATCTTCATCTCTCATGGGCTTTTAAAATTAATGCCAGAAACAAGAAAAATCCCTTCCACTCTGCAAGAGCATCTCTAAAACTCATAAGAAAAAATGAGACAGTCACTCTTTGGAGGTGCTACAGAGGTGCTGTATGGGAATACTTCACAAATCATCTCATCCCGACACCTACATCATCAACTTGAATGAAACTGGCATTATTGACTCGTTTCAGGAATGCTATTATAGAGACCAGGAGGAAAAATGTTTAATCAATTAAACGCTTTAGCATTCCTTAGTAGGTTCTGTCAAAGATAGTCATTTAGAAAGAGCTCACATAATCTTCCTCTGTTTCTTTTTATTACCATTTCTGCCAATCACATTGTCATTCTTCCAATCAGCCAAGCTAGGAAGGGGAGTATCGGTCTTTCACAATTTTCTTTTCTTACTCCATTGTGTCACTTTCATGCCCTGCTGGTACTTTCCTTACAATATATCTATGTGTTGTTCTGATTCCCTCCCATTTTTTATATCCCTACTCAGGGTAGCATTTTATACAACTGAATTTGTGTGTGTGACCTGACACATTTCCATGATTCTCTCCTTAAGTAGAACCAGCAAGGTATTACAATCCAACATAAAGTGAAGGTGACTTACATGGACTGTATCTAAAGGTCAAAATCTTCAACATAGTTGCCATGCCATCATGATGATGGGTTTGTCTTTCCATTTTGTTTTACTATCTCTAATCCTTTCATCATTGTTTTTGTTGCTTGCTGTATGTGTGATCACCAGTTGTCCTCAAACTATTCTTTAGTTGCAATACTTACTTTGCAAACTTAAATGAAAAACAGTAAATTTTTTTTAAAACTTCACAACTACTTGTAGAAATAAATGCATTCCAAATGTTTTATTTATTTTTCAAGCTTCCTAATTTCTCCCATTCTTATCAATAAATATCTAGGTTTCCAACTTATCCATCGGCTTCTTTTATAAATCTATTTGGATATTTATTTGAAAGCTACACAACACTTCTAAAGATGTATAAAAATAGAATTACAAAATGATAAGCTTGCTAGAAATGAAATACATAAAACAACTCAAAGTAGAAGTAAATCCTGAGCAACTCAAATTATCAGCTATCTGTTCATGTGAACAGCCAGTAATCAAAAGTTTTCTTCCTCACATCTACCAAAAGACGAGTAGAGAAAAACCTCTTAGACAAATACCATCCTATTTCAAACCATTGTATTGGTTGTCTTGGTCTTCCAGAACAAATTAACACAAACTCAGTGGCCAAAAACTATAGAAACTTATTCTCTCAGACTTCTGGAGCCCAGACATTTGAAACGAAGGTGGTGGCATAGCCATGTTCCTTCCAAAGGCTCTAGGGGAGAATCCTGGCCTCTTCCAGCTGCTGGTAGCTTCCAGCATTTCTTGGTTTATGGCAGCGTTAACTCCAGTCTCTGCCTCCAGCTTCACACGGCCTTCTGTCTTGTGCCTATAATCTCCCTCTCTTCTCTTTTTTATATACCAGCCATTGGACCAAGGCTAACTCGAAATGCAGAATCATCTTAACCTGGGGTCCTTAACTTAATTACAACTGCATAGACCCTATTTCCAAACAAGGCATACACCAGTACCAGAGTTTAGGATTTGAATGTATATTTTTGGAGTATACAATGTAACTTGTTATACCCGTGAGGGATTCAATTTGAACTAATAGCTTTCCTTAACTGCTACCATTACTCATCGTCTTTACTTAATTGCTTTCATTCCTCACCCTCAGGTGAGATTATCCACAGCAATATCTTGCACTATTTTTAACCATCTATCACCATTACATCATACCAATTATAACATAGTTCTAAATGCCTATTAGTCATTATTAGTCTTATTATTACTTTTGCACAGAGATAATAATATATTCCAATTTACAATGAACCCAATTATCTATTTCATATAAATAGTATATAAATGAATATAATTATATATGTGTTTATTTTCATTAAACACTTATTTGTGTAAGAGTAAGAGCAATGGAAAGAACAGATAATATTTTCTTCACTTGATGAAAAATTTTAATGAGCATTTATTCAAAACAATTTGCTGCATCAAGGGGACATTTTACATTTCTTTGACTAACATTGAATCTTAAAAACTTTTCTCATATTAGGAACAGTTGCGAAACTGTCTCTGCCACAAACAACAGGTACGAACTACTCACTTTCTCAGCCTCCCTTGCAGCTACAGTACAGGCAGGTGACTTTCTGCTTCACCAATGAGATACTCCTAAACCAGTCTTTGGATCATAAAACCAGGCAAGTGCAGAGGCTGGCACCTAGGTACGGAGACAAGGACATTTAGAATTTAGAGGCAACACCACCAGTGGTTCTGGCAGCAGAAGTCTATGCCCAAGCCAGCAGTCGCAAAGATACAAGCTGTGGTGAATTGCACTGTGTTGCCATTGGAGTCACATCCCTGCAGTGTGTTTTCGGGTATTATTCCAGGTGAGGTAGTCTTCAAGCCTGGTTATAGGCTTTCCCAGAGATTATGTGGGCTATCTGTAATTACTTATTTGATTACTTTTCCGTGTTGCCAGCAACACAGAACAATGATTGATGTATTGACTCACCAGATTCAGTTCACTGGCAACAACAAATAATCCAATATGTCCATATAATTAAGAAAATTGAGCAGGAGGCACAGGGAATGGAGACAGGTCAGAATATAATGGCTTCTGTAATACCAAGAAGTGAGTAAAAGCCTTGATTTTTAATCCAAACGTTATTTCTACAAAATATTTTATAATATATAATCTATTATCTATCTTGTTGACATCTAAAATGTATCCAAATATCAATGGAGTATCTTTAATTTGATAGCTTGTCAATCTGCATGAAAAATAAACAAAACAAAATGTATACTGGTTAATGAAGATGATGATAGTGATATTAATACTATAGATGTGTGTTTATATGAAACTAGGTATAAGCACTAAGGACGTCATCACCATTATCACTACTTTCGTTGCTACTATAAACTATAAAATTTTCCAGGGGTCTTTCCAAACCTACATGAAATGGTCTATTATGTTAAAGTTCTTTTCCACTATAGTATACCAGGCCAAGGTTAATAACTTATATTTAATTTTACTATATATCTCTTCTTCTAGATACCTATATATATATTGATATATCCATATCTACCTCTAGATAGATCTATGTATCTATAGATGTATATATATAAAGATACAAATATACTCTTTTATTTTGCTATCAATATTATTTTTAAAACAGTCATTTTTAAACTGTAATGTCATATAACAAAGGTTAAATAGAGTTTGTGGAAACTAGCCAAAAAATCTAACTGCAATTCTAAACAACTTCTTAAAGTTAATTCAAAGAATGTGTTCTGAGTTCCAAAAAAGCAACTTGTATATTAATTTTTTATAACATCTTAAAAACTAAATTTATTAACTAAGCACCTTCTGTAAGTGAATTAATGTAAAACAAAATGATTACAAATGTTGTATAGGATTGCTGAAGGTTAGAAACAAATGTTAAATAGTTTAAAAGGTGATTAAGAATAGACTTTAAGATTTTAAAAATACCTTTAGGTTTATTTTGTAATTTTGAAGAAATGTCATCTAAGGCTAGAGAACACTTACTTGCAGAATAAATAAGAACATGAAATTTTTTAAAGTACAAAAAAGTTTAATCTTTAAAAGATTAATCTTTTAGTGTTGTTAAATGTCAGAAAATAAACTTTTGTTTAATTTAAAAACTTGAAGAAAATCATTTACGTGATAAAATTAACAATGAAGAGTACTTTTGAATCCATCCTTAAACCTATACTGTCTGAACATACAGACAAATACACTCTGCATCTATCTGGATCAATGACTCATTAAGCACCCTTTAAGAAGAAATGAATGTACTTTAACCCCTTCTACACTTAAACATTGTAAGTACTTATTATTCAACAAGCACTTACTTCTTCCACATAGACATGTTTATTTACATATTTCTGGATACTATGTCAGTTGTTATTTGAATGTTTTCATCTCTGCCAGTTCTCATTGTTACATAGAGAAATATTCCATAGCTCTTATATTTGAATTTAGGTTTATGAATATTGATTTTTAAAGAGAGTTAGACTGAAAAAGAACTATTTGTATTCACAGTTGAGATCAAAATATACCTTACCTAACCAAACAGTTTCAAGCACAAACCTATCCTTTTGCTAGATATAAGAAAGAAAAATAAGGCCACTATATAGAGATACACAAAGGCTTTTCAATTTTAAAATATTCTCTGGAATTTAAAGTATTTGTAACTTTTCAATTTGAAATTTATATAAAAATAATTTTGAGCGAAACAAATAGCTTATAAAATAAATTATAAACAATTCAATTAATAAAAGTCATTAGCATTTATAGATTAATATATTTAAGAATATTTCATGCACTACAAAATTACTAATGATATGAGTCATGATTAATAATGTTTTATTTGTTCTTAAATAGTTCAGTTAAATTAAAGAGAGGCAGACATGTAAAAACTCAATTACAAATAACATGGGCAGCTCTATTAAAGAAATTTGTGCAAGGTTGAGGCATAGCCTAGAAGAAAATGATCAATAACAACTGCATCTCAAATTAGATGTTTTTAAAACTGAATCATGAGAGTAATTAATAATTCAATCATTAAATAAAATTAAGGAAAATTAATTATAAGCAGAAGAATAAAATATGTAAAAGCACAGATGCATGAAACAGTATGTTTGGAGTTATTTGTCCTTTACTAGCTCTGGTTCTGAGACAAATATACTACATTGTCTCTTCATTATCTTTTGTATTGAGATAAAATTTACATAACACAAAAATTTCCCTTTGTACTCATTTTCAAGTATACAATTCAGTGGGTTTTAGTATATTCACAATAATTTACAACCCTCATCACTACCTCATTCTAGAACATTTCATTAAACCCTAAAAGACACCCAAGTCCTCCTTCTCTCAACCTCCTTTTCTTTCTAGGGGTTGGGGACAGCTCCTGGCAGCTGTTACTCTACTTTCTGCTTCTGTGGTTTTGCTTGTTCTTGACACTTCACATTAATGCGATCAAGTAATATGCAGTCTTTTTTATTATTATTGTTACACTTTAAGTTTTAGGGTACATGTGCACAATACATGTGCCATGCTGGTGTGCTGCACCCATTAACTCGTCATTTAGCCGTCTTTTGTCTCTGGTTTCTTCATGTTGTAGCATGTGTCTGTACCTTGTTTCCTGTTATTGGCTGAATAATATTCCATTGTAGAATATATCACCTTTGTTTCTCTTGTGATCATCTCATTTCTGCTTTTTGGCTATTATGAATAACACTATGTATATCATGCACAAGTTTTGGTGTGAACATACGTTTTCATTTCTCTAGGAATACAATGATGGGGTTATAGGATACCTTTGTATTTAACATTTTGAAGAACTGCCAAATGCTTTGCAAACAAACTGCATTATTTTACATTCCCTCCAGCAATAGATGAAGGGTCCAATTTTCTACATTCTCCAGCACTTGTTGTTTTATGATTTTCCTTTTTATAAAAAAAAATTATAGCCAACCTAATGATTGTAAAGTGGTATCTTACGGTTTCCATTTGCATTTGGTGAGATTGTATGTCTGCCTCCCCTGAGGTTAGGTAGGACCATATGACTAAGTTAGCCAAAGAATTGTGACCATAATTGAAATGTATCACTTCCAGGCTGCCACATTTATTTGGTGTTCTAAAACCCTTCTGAAGTTCTTTCTAGCAAAGATGCCAACAACTGGCTTTGTTCCTTCAGTTTAAAGGAGTAGAGCTCCCCTGCTAATCAGAGATGGACATGACGCACTTTCAAGAGTGGCTGAAGACACTTCAATTGTGAAATTATTTATAACAACAGAACAATAACAGCCTACCTGTACTGGTATTCACATCACTTCTGCTTATATGGTAATTATTGTTAGGAAAAATAGACAATAAAATACATGGTGCAGTGGTACAATAATACATTTAGGTCTCTTTTTTTATAAGAGCAAATTTACTGATTTTATCATACAGAAAATTGTGACAAAGAATGATTACCTAGGATACTTGATAGAATACAATTTCCAAGCTTCTTAAATACAATTTCTATTTTAATTATTGCAACTCATTTGTCTAACAACATGTAGTTGGGTGTTCCTTATTTAACAATCCAGATATAATTCACTAATTTTGAGAGATTGAGTGTAGTTCATATTCTACCTTCTAACTTTCTTGCAGTCCCTCTACCCTCTGAAAGAGGGTGTTCTATTACTTTCTTATGAGGTCAAAATTTAAGAAATTATGCTGCGGTAACCTTTTTTTAGACTTTCTAGTAAGCCATATCATGGGAAATGAAATTATGTTAATGGAACTGTATTAAGTGGTAGAAGATGAAAAGATGTATGTGTGTGTGTGTTTGTGTGTGTGTGTGTGTAGTGGGGTGTGTTTGCATGTGTGTGTGTGTATCTCTTCAAATATTATGTTTAAGAATGAGATCTATGATTGTATATCTCTCAACCAAAAAAAATATATATATATTTTAAAAACACCTTAAAATCACTTTGTTTCTTGCCTGTTTTAGACTTAAACTAATAAAGACTATATAGACTTTAGACTACATCCCACATTCACTATGTGAATGCTCTGGGATCTTCACTGGCATCTAATTTGTTTAATATGAAAGTATTTTGCGGTTGGTATTATTTAAACCCCAACTTTAGAAAGCTGGGAAATAGACTGAAAGTCATGGGTTGTTTGTGAGTCATAATTATAAAGCAATTGTTGTGACTAGCAAATCATGACTTTTCAGGAAAGAAAGGAGAGAAAGAGAAAGAGCGAGAGAGAGAATAACAGAGAGAGGAGGGAGAGGGGAAGAAAGGAAGGGAGAAAGGAAAAAAGAAATAAAGAAGTGTAATTGAACCTATATGTCTACTACCCAAATGAGCAAACCTGGGGTGTTTTGGATATATTTGCTTTTCTGCTTCTGATGCAGAGGCACCTCCCATCTGCCTCTGGCCATCCCTGGAGCCAGGTCTCAGCGTGCTGTGGAATCAGTCCTGGTTACCACTGTGTCTTCCTGTTCTGAATCTGGTCCACAGTGATTTTGTTTCTTAAAATTCCTAGGGTGAGTTTTATTTTTTAACCATTTAAACTACAACTGTAGTCTTTGAGTTTTTGATCTTTAAAAAAAGGAAGGCCCAACTTAACTGGAAATTTATGCTTATTACTTCTTTTTTCCTATATTATAAAAATGATTTGTAATAGGAAAACATACCCATTTTACTCAATGTAACAAGTAGGACAGGAATCCGTCTTCTTATCACCATTATAAGAAAGTCATTATTTCTTAACTTATCACTAACAGTAGGCATTATAAAACTTTAATGTTGTAGCCAATCTTATTTGGTGAAAAATGTACAATCATTTTTTTATTTCTTTATTCTGATCTTTGATGGGCTTACCCAATTTTAATACATTTATTGGTTATTTGTATTCCTACTTTGTTCCTACTTACATTGTACATTGTGATAATGGCTTTTCCTTGTTGGTGTTGAGGCATTCATTTTAAATTATAGCTATTAACCTAAATCTTGTTGCATAAATTGAAAATATATTTTGCCAATATGTAACTTAAGCATTAATTCTTAACATGCAATTTCACTCACAGAAGTGTGTGTGTTCACATCTATTTTTTCTTTTCTAACCTCAGGATTGCTCATTATGTAAAGCTCTTAAGCATAGTGCCTGGCACTACATAAGTAAGGCACAATCATTAGCACTTATTATCCTGTCTTTATCTTCCAGTGAAATTATTCTGATATATAGTGAGGGCTTCATTCTGGTAATAAATATTTCTGAAGGCAGGCTTGCTTGCTTTTCTTTCTCTCTTTCTTTCTTTCTTTCTTTCTTTCTTTCTTTCTTTCTTTCTTTCTTTCTTTCTTCCTTCCTTCCTTCCTTCCTTCCTTTTTCTTTTTCTTTTATTTTTTTTGAGATAGAATTTCACTCTTTTGCCCAGGCTGGGGTGAAGGGGCGTGATCTCTGCTCACTGCAACCTCCATCCCCCAGGTTCAAGCAATTCTCCCAAAGGCAGGTTTTTGTATAAACACAGGGAAGGGGAAACGTTCCAAACACTTATATTTTATAATAAATGAGAATTTTTAAAATGATAAGTAATAAAGTTTCACAATTACTTCTACTCATTTTAGCATACTGGTGGCAGGATTGGAGTTTATGTGTGTTTCTAGTGGAAATAATTAAAGATAACTTTAATTTTATAAGGTTGGGCAAAAGATTCTTTGTCCTGAATTATTTTTTTAGTCAAATCTCAATCAAAGTCTCCTCTAATTTTTAGTTCTATCAATAGTGACATGTTCTGGCCTCATTTTGGGTTTGTTAATATTTCTATTATTTATTCTAATACTGCAGAGACAGTTAGGGGAAAATGTTGGCAGACACAATCCATCTGAAATCTTGACCTGTAGACTCAATTTTTTGTCTTGGCAAACAAAAATCTTAGGCTAGATTTTTTTTAGAAATCATGAGAATATATTTAAAAAAAGTCCAACCATGTATTGATTATGGAAAGCAAATCTCCAAATGTGTGATACATAAATCAAAATACAGCATATGTGGTTTGAAGGGACACCAATAAAATGCAAATAAAAGAAAAATCTGGCAATACAAACAGTAATAAATGTAAAATAGAAATAAGTCTTTAAAGCCATAAAATAAGACTTATCCTCTATTGAGGATATGTAACAATCACAAAGATACGTAAAAATTTTTATTTTATATTGTATAATGTCATAATAAAATCTCTAAGAAATGAGAAAATTTCACAAAAAATTACAGAAGTGAAAAATTATGTCACAGTGTCAATATTTTCTTTAAATCATTTCTGATTTAGAGAAAAAATACAAATTTGAGGGGATCTGAAAAATATTGTAGTTATACATTACACTTCCTTTCAGAGAATGCATATTTGGTAAAACACTTGATGGAAAATTTGCATATATTAGGCTATGAAAGATGCTTTAATATTATGCATTTATGAGAAATCATGCAGACCTGTTCACTGTTCTTGGGATCAAAACAAAAGATAATTTAGAAATTAAGAAAAAAGGAGAGAAAAACAACACTATCAGCATCGTGATCAATGTTACCAATTAAACCACAAAAATAAAAACAAAATGCTACCAGATATAAAAAATATAAACAGATTCAACTCTCTTAGCCTAGTCGTCTTCAACCAAAAAGAAATGTTGGCCGGGCGCAGTGGCTCACGCCTGTAATCCCAACACTTTGGGAGGCAGAGGCGGGTGGATCACGAGGTAGAGAGATCGAGACCATCCTGGCCAACATGGTGAAACCCTGTCTCTACTAAAAATACAAAAATTAGCCAGGTGTGGTGGCGGGCACCTGTAGTCCCACCTACTTGGGAGGCTGAGGCAGGACAATCGCTTGAACCCAGGAGGTGGAGGTTGCAGTGAGCCGAGATCACGCCACTGCACTCCAGCCTAGAGACAGAGCAAGACTCCGTCTAAAAAAAAAAAAAAAAAAAAAAGAAATGTTAAAATTTAGAAATTAGAGTAAAAAGAATGTTAACTTCAAAAATGTATGCAATGTGAGCATAATTATTAAAAGAGATGTATGCTAGTCTGAGATCCTGAGGAAGAATGACAGTAAAAGAAAAATTCAGCTCATACATTGCAAACTGGAACAGCAAAAAGCCTAAAACAATCTTAACTGTTTAATAAAAATTTTAGCCGAAAATAATATCATCTAAAAGAATCAAGCTAGAAGCAAATATCCATTAATCCCCTTCTGTTTCTAAGATGACTAAAAATTTATAGGCCAGGGGCTGTGGCTCTCACCTGTAATCCCAAAGCTTTGGGAGGTCAAGGTAGGAGGACTGCTTGAGGCCAGGAGTTAGAGACCAGTTTAGGCAACAAAAGCAAACCCTGTAACTACAAATTTTTTTTTTAATTATCAGGGCATGGTGACATGGGCCTGCAGTCCCAGCTACTCAGGAGACTGAAGCAGGAGAATCACTTGGACCCAGGAGTTGGAGGTTGCAGTGAGCTATTATCATGCCACTGCACTCAGCCAGTGCAACAGAATGAGACTCTTTCTAAAAATAGGAAGAACAACATATAGCCAAATGTCAGTCCAGGAAAATTTTTCGAAACAGAAAACCACAAATAAATAACATTTGGGAAAATAATGCTGATATTATTCTATGTAAAGAAGACTTTTAAAAAATATTATAATATCACTTTATTCCAAATAGTTTTAAAACATTTCTGTAATAATCTGTATTGTAGAAAAAATAGTCATCACCCTGGTGGATCAAAAGAATCAGGAAAGCAATTGATAAAAATTTATGAAAAAGAAAATTACAAAATTAGCAAAAATGGAGACTAATCTGAAAGCATCTGTGGATTATTTCAGGAAATAATTAGATAATTTCAGATAGTTACAGGTCATGAAAACAATAAGTTTCCAAATTCGTGTATGTAACAGTAAAAATGTCCAAAGAATTAAAACTGTAGCCTTATCAGATTTTAGATATACAAATAAAACAAACCTGAAAAGAAAAATGGTAAATACTGATATAAAAATTTTTATAAATGTCCAAAGATATTCTGTAAACACGCAACATATTTTCTGATTAGATAGATAAATAGATGGATTTAAAACACACTTTTGGATGTAGAGTAACATTGAAGATAACAAAGAACTGCCCTCTCAACTTTCCTTCCTAGAATTCATAGTGAAATACTTGTTAGTTTCATTAAAGAAACAGACAAACCAAGGATCCCTTTTATTGTCACTGTTACTTAAATCGTTCTAAAAGATTTAGCCATTGCAAAGTAACAGATGAAAGGAACACTTAGGTGTTTGAAAGAAGACACTTATGTCCATATGTGATATAAACTATCTTCTGCAAACTGAATTTTAGTATTCTATGCTATGCTACCAAATCCCTCATGTTAAATAAAAGAAAAAATATGCAGAGACGTCCAGACTGAGACAACATAAATCTGAGTTACAACTTTGGACCTCTCTCTTTATTCCTCTGTAGGGGTGTGTGTGTGTGTGTGTGTGTGTGTGTGTGTGTGTGTGTGTTGTGTATGTGTCTTTCTCTTTCTAACTAGAGAGGTATAGATACATAGATAGATATAAATATAGATATAATATAACGATATATATCATAGTGTACAACCATATACCAACTGATACATAATTGAAAAGTGTTAGTCTCTAATATAAAATCAATAATAACTGACACTATCACAAATTGGGTTATCTAGAAGAAGACAATGCAAAAAAGTTTGGGGTATAAGGTATTCATGAGAATCAAACCTGTAAAAGGAAAAAAAAAAAGGAAGCAGAATGTGGAAGAGAAAGACATGAAATATGACACAGGCCCATCATAGTCTTAGCCAACAGGTCAGTTTCTCAAGGAGCTGTGTAACAAAGCAGAAACCTAGTGGGATAAATATGAGACCTTCCATCCTTCAGTTGGTGTCACAGCCACAATTGGGACTCCTCTCTCCTCTCTCTGCTTTTCATTATCCATTCTAGATTGTCTTCACTCTCACTTCTCACTTCTCTGTGACACAGATCACCCTTGCAAGGCTGTGACATTAGGAGCGATGTCAATCTCCGACCCTTAAGGACCTGATAGCTGGAGATTTTCTGCTTCTTGCGCACCCCACAGCTAAGCAGGGGGTCCTTCCTTGAAAGACTTTCTTGAAAGAAAATCTCAGTAGCACAGATACATAACTAAAAGATGTGGTAAATAATGTATAACGTGCAAGAGATATTTACTATTAAGTAATGAACACGATATAGAATATGTAATAGACAATACATAATGTGCAATGTATATAATATATAACATATAAATGTATATGTTAATACAATGCTCATCTGCTTCTCCTCAGTGGACGGGCCTCATTCTTTCCCACTGCCAGTAAGGTTCCTTTACCAGGTGGGAGGAGAAACCTTGGGGACAAATTCAAGCTTACATCATTCCAGCCAATGATTCCAGAAGAATGAGATGGCTTTTTTCTCTCAGCCACGGGGCTGGCGGGCCTTTGTGCTTGCTTTATGTAGGGGATGGGAATGTTTTGTCTTATTTTGTTTTGAGTTCTCATCTAAACAATGACAAGAAGGGATGCTGACTGTCACAATGTAGGGGCTGTATTGATTTTTCACTGGCCTTTCCAGACTAGTTTTTTTTTTTTTTTTTTGAGATGGAGTCTCGCTCTGTCGCCGAGGCTGGAGTGCAGTGGCACAGTCTCGGCTCACTGCAAGCTCCGCCTCCCAGGTTCGTGCGATTCTCCTGCCTCAACCTCCCGAGTAGCTGGGATTACAGGTGTGCACCACTACGCCTGGCTAATTTTTGTATTTTTAGTAGAGACGGGGTTTCACCATGTTGGTCAGGCTGGTCTCCTACTCCTGACCTCGTGATCCGCCCGCCTCGGCCTCCCAAAGTGCTGTGATGACAGGCATGAGCCACCGCGCCCGGCCTCCAGACTATTCTTCACCCTGCTCTGCCACAGCTTGTGACTCAATAGTCTGATCTCTGTGGACTATGTCACCCTGTCCCCTTGTCCTCTGACTCTGCTGATGGGAGACCCTGGCAGGAAATTGGACGAAGGGAAGAAAGATTGGTGCATCTCATCCTCTGTCTTCCTGTTGGGATACATCTCTGCTCCTGGCTGTATTCTTCCACGATGGAAGTGCCTGGCAGGCCCTGTCTTATGGATCAAGCTTTTCCTGGGCTCAAGAGCACTGTTACTTCCCTTTGTCCCTTCAAGGATGGGGTGGAATGGCTTCCCTTTGTCGTTGCCCTGGGCACTTCCTCAGCCTTTGCAGTTTCCCTTAGCCCAGTTTTTACTCTATAATAGTCTCTCCACTGTCAATCATCAGAGTGTGTTGTCCATTTCCCCCAAAACCCTGGGTCAACCCTCACCTCTTTACTTAACTTCAGCAAGTGACTCTGGGCCTGACCTGGGCAGATTCATTGATAATTTTATGGTGCAGAGAAGGAGGAGCATTGAGATTTGTAGGCCAAAAAGTGGGATAATGTGATTGTCCACTCTAATGGAAACACGATAGCTTCCCAAGGAAAGGGGATTAATTTTAGCAAAATAAAGGGAAGAAATCTTACATAAAAATTACAACTGTCCCCTAATCTTTCTTTGCAGTGTTTACAAACAGAACTTTATCCTTAGAAATGCATTTCCAATGACCAATGACCTTGTAGTCCTATTTTTTATAAAATCTAAATTATACACATTCTTTTTCCAGAGAGCGTCTACCCCAAACTACTCCTTCCATTAACTCCATTAAGCTGCAAGTACATGTTCCCTGTTTGATATGGTTGTGTTTTATCAGGCCTGTACAAGCTACTCATGGTTCTACAGTATATGGCTAGTAAGAAATTAACTGCTCCTAACGAAAAATAAATAAATAAATAAATAAGATGCCAGAGGTAACTGAAATGACACTACCTCTGATTAAGCACTCTTATTTAGAGAACTGGAAAGAGGAGACAAATGAACGGCCTCTTATCTATTGCACATGCCACATCCTGCAGGATGTAGAGTCAAGACTTCTTTGTCAATAAGTAAGTATTTGGGTCTGGAGGTGTGTTGACCTCTAGTTTTTCAGACTAAGGCTCACCTTTGTCCATCATGTGTCTTTGACGTACCTGACAAGGTACTTTTTATTTCTTGTTGGCATGGACAGGAGGTTCTGAGAATTGTTTTATGATTTCAGAATCACAGTCCTCTGTTTAAGGGGCTAACAGTTCTCAGGGGCAAAACTTCCCTTTTTGTCCTTTCAGTTTGATTTTCTGGGGACTTAAAACATCTGGTAATCAACACTTTGATCATAATAGCTGGGAGTTTCTCTAAATTTACTTTTCTTAGTACAAGGTCTAAGGGCTTAAATCACTACCCCTCTCTCTCAAGCCCCAAAATATCTGCGTCTCTTCTGCTCTCTGCCTTGGGAAAATATAAAACAATAAATGAGATAAGACAAAGTTATTATGCTTTCCACCTACAAGAATCAGCTCAAGGGTGTTCTTTGTTTTTCTTTTTTTTTTTTTTTAGAAGGAGTCTCATCTGTTGCCTAGGCTGGAGTGCAGTGGCACAATCTTGGCTGACTGCAACCTCCGCCTCCCCGGGTTCAAGCAATTCTCCTGCCTCAGCCTCCGGAGTAGCTGGGATTACAGGCACCTGCCACCAAGCCCGGATAATTTTTGTATTTTCAGCAGAGACAGGGTTTCGCCATGATGTCCAAGCTGGTCTTGAATTCCTGACTTCAGGTGGTAGGCCCGCCTTGGCCTCCTAGAGTGTTGGCATTACAGGCATGAACCACTGTGCCCAGCCTAGGATTTCTACTGCTTTATGGCAGAAGGTTAGTTCTGGTGTGACAAGGGGTGGAGGACTGGAGATATGAGTCTAATCCAAGAGACAAGGGTCCTCCTGGGACCCAGTGCCATCTCTTGGATTTATTACTTCCATAACGTACTGCCATGAAGGTTAGCATGAGGCATGGAATTTGGATTTTACCACCTTGATAGATGTTCACTTTCTAATACTATTCTTACTGGATGCTAGTTTATGTTAATGGATTTGTCTGCTTTATCCTTCCCGCCTTAAGTGAGGGTAACCAAAGTTTGTCTCTTTCTATTTGAACTTTACTGAAAACCTACAATGGTTAAAAAAAATTCTGAGCTTTACAACTCCAAAATCCTGATGCTGTCATTTTAACTATATCATTTAGAGCTTGATCATGGATGAATACTTGTTCTGTTTCCCAAAAATGTCAACAAGTGAAAGTTTTCCCAATGCTTTCCTCCCATGTGAAATTAATTGCTAGCTTCCCAGCCAGGAACAGAAAGAAGATTTTCATAGCCCACAATCTTGCTTCAATTTAGCTAAATCCGTATTTCAGATTCTGTTCCATGAAACACTCACTTTGGAGTACCAGTTTCTGTATTACTGAGAGCAAATAAAAGAAACCCAACTCAACTTACTTTGAACATAAAAAGGAAATCGATTGGCTCATACTAACTAGATTGTCAGAGTAAAGGTAGACTCATATCTATTAAGAACCTGAATCCTGATATTTTTTTCTCTTTCTTTCTCCTTTTTTGCTTTCTCCACTCCTTCCCTCTCTCCTCCTTCTCTCTTACCTTCAAATGTTCAACTCTCTCGTCCTTCTCTGTGTTAAGTGTGTTCTTTCTCTCTCTCTCTCTCTCGCTTGCTCTCTTTTGTGTGCACAAGCGCTATCTCTCTCTCTCTCCTCTGAGAGTATAAGGGTTTCCTCCATGTAATTGTTAATATTGAGTGTCAATTTGATTGGATTGAAGGATGCAAATTATTGTCCCTGGGTGTGTCTGTGAGGATATTGCCAAAGAAGATATTGAGTGAGTGGACTGGGAAAGGCGGACCCATCCTCAGTCCAGGTGGGCACAATCTAATCAGCTGCCAGTGTTGCTAGGATAAAAGCAGGCAGAAGAACATGGAAAGACTGGACTGGCTAAGTCATCTGGCCTCCATCTTTCTCCTGTGCTGCATGCTTCCTGCCCTTGAACATTGGACTCCAAGTTCTTCAGCTTTTGGACTCTTGGACTTACACCCGTGGTTTCCCAGGGGCTGTGGGTCCTTTGGCCATAGACTGAAGGCTGCACTATCGGCTTCTCTACTTTTGAGCTTTGGGGACTCGGACTGGCTTCCTTGCTCCTCAGCTTGCAGAGGGCCTATTGTGGGACTTCACCTTGTGATCGTGTTAGTCAATTCTCCTAATAAACTTCCCGTCATATGTACATCTATCCTGTTAGTTCTGTCCCTTTAGAGAACCCTGACTAATACACTCTGTGTAGGGACAGAGCTTTGGGGATGCACCATACTAGTTAGTGAAGGCAAAGAAGATAAAAAGAGTTTTTCGGCCAGGCGCCGTGGCTCACACCTTAATCCCAGCACTTTGGAAGGCCAAGGCAGGGGGTCATGAGGTCAGGAGTTCGAGACCGTCCTGGCCAACATGGTGAAACCCTGCCTCTACTGAAAATACAAAAATTAGCTGGGTGTGGTGGCATGCGCCTGTAATCCCAGCTACGTGGGAGGCTGAGGCAGGAGAATCACTTGAACCTGGGAGGCGGAAGTTGCAGTGAGCTGAGATTGCACCACTGCACTCCAGCCTGGTGACAGAGCAAGACTCTGTCTCAAAAAAAAAAAAAAAAGAATTTTTCCACAAATATCCGTATATACAATCCCAGAGGACAATTACGATGCCCTTTTTGAACTAATTGTCTGGTAATGGGTCATGAGCTCACCCTGTTATTAGAGTATAGGAAAATGGTGATGTGGGACATTACTCTTTTTAGAAGGAAAAAGGAAATAGATGCTGGAAAGATAAAACAACACGCACTCAACACAGCAAAAATCAAAGACAAATCATTTACAAACAAAAGAAACAAATCAGAAACCCCAAAACTCTAATGATGTTTCCAGTGTTTAGCTCTTACAAATTGTGCTTCTGCGAACTGCACATGTTTTTGGTAAACTTTTGTACACATTTCTGTTCCGTATATATACCTAGAATTGTTGGGCCATAGGACATATTATTTTTAGCATTAGTAGATAGTGGCAAACAATTTTCTAAAATCCGTCTATAAGATGATGTTCCCATCAGTAGTGTATCAGATTTTCAGTTACTCCACATTCCCACCACCATATGGTATGATGTCTTAAGTTTAGCTCTTCTGGTGTGTGTATAGTGGCATTATATTGTGTTTTAACTTGCATTTATATGATGATGAAAGTAGTTAAGCAAATCATTATGTTTATTTATAATTTGGATATCATTTTCACAAAATTCCTGTTCAAGTCTTTGAGTCATTTACTTACTGGATTTTTAAAATTTACTTATTGATTCAAATAAACCTTAAGGATATGAATTCTCTGTGAGATATACACAATATTTTCCAACGAGGAGGCATGCTCACTTACTCTCTTGATGGTGTCTTGTAAGGAACATGAGTTGTTCATTTTAATACATCCAGTTGGTCAGTTTGTAAAATAAATACTATTTTTGGGTCCTACTTTAATTAATATTTCCTGCCCAACAATCAAAATCTTTTATATTTTCTTCTAGTGGCTTTATTGTTTGACTTTCATACTGAGAAATATAATCCTAAATATATTGCTTAGATCTGTAATCCATTTGATATTAACTTTTATTTATTGTCAAGATCATAAGGTAGGAAGGGATCAACATCAATTTTTTCCATAAGGATATTCAATTCACTCAAAGCCATTTTTTTAAAGCCATTTTTTTCATTTTACAGCAAAATACACATAATATAAAATTTCCCATCTTAACCATTTTTAAGTGTACAGATAAGTCATTAAATACATCCACAATGTTGTCCCACCATCACCACCCTCAATCTCCATAACTTTTCTTCTTGTAAAATTAAAACTCCGTACCCATTAAACAATAACTCCCCATTCTGTCCTTCTCCCAGCCCTAGGCAACTACCTCAGAATCATTTATTTTTAAAATATTTATTATATGCACATATTCATATGTACATATGTATAGATCTCTTTATATCAACATGTTTATCTTCTAGAAGTGTGTGTATGTATTCATCTTTATGTTTTGAGGTATGTATATGTATATATGGATAACATTCTAAATACATACATACACAAACATATGTGTGCATGTTTTAGTCTGTTACTTATTGATTATAAACAAGAGGTTATTTTTCTTCTTATTGTCATAAAATTCACATTGTTAATGTGCCATATACATATTACTGATGAATAAATTTACTTATTAAAAGAGTGGAATAAACAGCTCTGTTGCCTTTTGTAGACTTCAAATATTTGGAATATTTTTATCTTTGTAATAACCATTTAAAGTTGAAAGGGAAGATGAATTAAACATGCCAAGGAGATGACCTTCTGCATTAGAAGTCCTGTGATAGCTAAGACCATACAGGAGAAAGACAAAAGTTTATCTTGCTGGGCAGACTCTGATTCCTTTGATCTCAAACTCAGTGCTTTTAAAATGAAATGTTAAATTACTAATTCCAGAATAATAATGACCAGACTCAATGACTCAACTATGCTAGCAGATACTAGTGAAATGAATAGAAGCATATATAGGGCTACCATAGTTTTCAAAGGTGCTATTGAATCACAAAAACTATTGGTATCTTTATAGTGTTAAACTTTGAAGAAGAGCAGACACAGACAAATCAAGGCAAATATTAATTATTCTAGCAATAGAGCAAAAGTTAGTATTAGAATTTGGATCTTAATTATTGAAATTAATCTGCAATGTCTTCTTAAGCTATGAAAGCATGAAATGTTCCACTAAAAATATGTGTCTTATGTTGGCAAATTAGGTAAACTAGTGTAATGTTATTGTAAGATTACCATTACATAGAAAATGAGGGATAAAGGCAAACAAGCATACTTAACACAATTAGTCAGGCCTATTAAATAGAAACATATTAAACATTAATGATCATTACTATTTGAAAATTTAGCCCTGGATTATCACTAATATTACCATATAATATTGGAAACAGCTTCTTGTTTCTCTATTGTTCTTACATTTCTCCAAAATTTATTTTAGGGAATGCATTTATTCACCAAGTAGCAAGAAAATTGTTTATATAGTCATGATAATGTAATCAGAGGGCAGATCAATGTAAAAGGATTTTTGACATTGTAATTATTTGAACTTTAAATCATAGCAATGTGTTTTTTATGTTTGTATACAAATAATATCTTCAAAATGATGCATGTATAACAGGGTCAAAAAAAGTCAGTATTTTGCACATCAACACTTAATTGCCTTTGACAGTTTAAGCTTATTTCAATGTTAGTATTATACATTGATCAGATGGACATTTTGAATCCATCTCCAATTCTATCTTGAACTAAAACCTCTTCTGCATAAATCCTTTTTCTTAGCAATTTTTATGCACAAACTTATTTTCACTCTTCAAAATTCTTTTGCTTTTAATTGTAATAAAACATATTTTTCAGAAATTTTCTTTATAGTTTTCAAATTCTATGCAAGGTCTATGACACACTCTCTCTAACTTCATATCACAATCAATGCATTTATTTAAAAGATACTTATTAAACCTATATGTCCCAGACATTGATCTAGGCTTGTGGAGTTCAAGAACGAAAACAAATAAACAAAGCAACAAAAGCAAGGCCTGTAATCGCCTGGAGTTGATTATACTTGTTGAGAGGTAATAATATCAATAAAATATGTGAAAAGAAAGAAGATACTTTCAGAGCAAGATAGCCACACAGGTTAATGAGATAGAATCAGAAAGAAGAAACAGAAGACCTCTCTGAGGTCGTCTGCGAGCTGATATCTGAATGGCAGAAAGGTTGTCCACCTGACTATTTGCAGATTCCCTACAAAGAAATGATAATTGAGGCATCCATGAGTCAAAAGCAAGCCCGGTGTGTTAGGAATGGCTGGAGCCTACTGAAGGAGGAGAGTAGTGGGGATTAATTGGAGAGGCAGTAAGAAACAAACATGGCATGTTCTCACTCATAAGTGGGATTTGAACAATGAGAACACATGGACACAGAGAGGGGAACAACACACACCAGTGCCTGTTGCAGGGTGGGAAGTGAGAGGGGAGGGAACTTGGCGGATGGGTCAATAGGTGCAGCAAACCACCATGGCACACATATACCTATGCAAACCTGCATGTTCTGCACATGTATCCCGTTTCTTTTCTTTAGAAGAAATAAAAATAAATAAATAAATAAACAAATCATAAGGTTGAATAAGTAAAAAAAAAGGGGTAAAAAGGCATTATGTAAAAGAACATACTGAAAATCTTAAAATTAAAATGTCATTATTAAACTTTTTTAAATTTTAGTAGTTCATGTACATAATGCAACTATTAGTTTAATTAGTATTAGTGGGACCCTGTTTATTAGAGAAATTACCATGCTGAAAGATACAACTGGTGAAATATCTCAGAATGTAATGTGAATAACCAAAAAGGTAAAAAAAAATGATAGAGATATAGAAGATAGATTAGAAACCTGGAGATTGCGCCACTGCACTCCAGCCTGGGCAACAGAGCGAGACTCCGTCTCAGAAAAAAAAAAAAAAGAAACCTGGAAAACCAGTCATACGAAACTTCCAGACAGAACAATAAATGAATAGATCATTTGAAAGTGTTAAAGAATATAGTTGATTCCCCAAACCCAAGCAAACAAATATTAGGGATTAATCAGACCCTCATAAAAACGCATAGGACTATTTGTAGACTGTTCTTATAAATAAAAGCCTAAATGAATCTGGCCGGGGGCAGTGGTTCACGCCTGTAATGCCAGCACTTTGGGAGGCTGAGGCGTGTAGATCACCTGAGGTCAGGAGTGCAAGACCAGCCTGACCAACATGGAGAAACCCCGTTTCTACTAAAAAATTCAAAAATTAGCCAGGCGTGGTGGTGCATGCCTGTAATCCCAGCTACTCGGGAGGCTGAGGAGGCAGGAGAATCGCATGAACGTGGGAGGCAGAGGTTGCAGTGAGCCGAGATGGCGCCATTGCACTCCAGCCTGGACAACAAGAGCAAAACTCCATCTCAAAAAAAAAAAAAAAATGCTTAATCTTTCTTCAGGGGTATTTTGTAAACATTACAGAGAATATTCCTAAACATCCATTTGGCTGGACCGTAGAGAATTTAATTTAAAAATTATATATTTATTCTCTGTTTGCCAAAAGCTACATGCACAAATTACTGTAACTGGAAATTATGTGATACATCTAGCATTCTATAACAGCCTGTGTCACATAACAAAACCTGCACCTGCCTGCAGGAAATTGTGCCTCACCAGCTCACTTTAGAGACTTTTCACTGTTTGTTGCAAGGTCCCCCCTCCTTCTGCAATGATAAAGCTGTTACTTACAGATTGATTGCTGGGTGGTTTTACTCAATTCAGGTTAACTAATAGTCCTGTGAATCAGAAGCCTCTGACCCAAGTGCTGGATATCCCTTTATGTGATCTACATAACAATAACTCTAAAGAGAATCTTTATTCAAAAACCCATATGTTATGTGAGTCCTCCAACTGATGTGTCACCTGACAACTTTTGCAGCTTTTTTTTGGAATGACAGGTTGTTTTCTGTCTTTTGGATGTCTGGTTACTCAGATTTTCCATGGAATCTGCAAATGGCAAAGATAGTTTTTTAAAAGAGGTTAAATAACCATGAATTTTTTTCTTCTTCAGGTGAGAGAGGACTAGCTTTCTGGACTCAGTGCGTTATAGTGATTGATATTGTCACATGAAGACAAATCAGAGAGAGGAGGACTGAATCTTCAGGAACTTTCATTCTTCCATATAGTGCAGTATCATTGTTCCCAATTCGCAGGAATATTTAACCTAGAAAGAAACCTAAGAATAACATCCTTTTCAATGAAAAGATGCTAACATGAAGACAAATCAGAGAGAGGAGGACTGAATCTTCAGGAACTTTCATTCTTCCATATAGTGCAGTATCATTGTTCCCAATTCGCAGGAATATTTAACCTAGAAAGAAACCTAAGAATAACATCCTTTTCAATGAAAAGATGCTACAGTTTTTGTGCTGTTAACCCCCCAAATTCACAATCATTGAAATATGTTTCAATTAATACATTGTATTTATACATAATTAACACAAGGAAAACTACATTTCTCTTTTGATTCAACGGTTATTTTGTTATAACTTTCATAAACAAAAGGATTCTCACAATAGTTTTTCATTCATTAAAATGTAGAGCCCATCAAACAAATCTAATTATTTGTATAATGCTTCCTTTTTTAGGTGGAACAGCAAACTTTTTTGCTACTTTGTAGTTCTAGGAAAGCAAAAGATGATTTAGTTATAAAAGACATCCAAAGAGTTTATTATTCTGAATCTGAAATTTGAATTGGAGAAAGCACAGTTAAGAATTTTTAAAGGAGAAAATATATGAATTAAAGTCTTAAATATCTAAAATAAAGAAATAGTTACAATCAATATTTTCCTAATGCACAGCATATGAAACAATGTAAATTTGAACTTTAAAAATTAGGGATTCAAGAGAAGGCCGAAAGTACAGAAAGTTAACAATATTTGGATGATAAAAAGAAAACTCTACAATGTAGGCCCAAAATAACTGGTAAACTTAGAAAAAAAAACAAAATTTGATTTTTTGTATAAAAAATTTGTATCTAAATTTGTATCTATATTTGAAAAATTTAGATACCTGCCTTAGAGATTGGAAAATTCTTCACAATGGCACACACACCTAAATGTGACCCAGATTTAAGGTCCACATTTCAGTCAGTGCCTTTTACAAATGGAGGTTCTATTCCTAAGGAATATTGGTTTCATTTATTCCCAGGACAATAAATTTAAAAACTAAGTCTGGCAGTCTCAATGAAATAATCAGAGCTCAGAAAACTTACCTTGGTATTATGGGAAGGGTGGCCTTCCCTCTGAGCCAGTAGAGATACAAATAACAATTAGCAGTAAAGAATTTATTGTTATACATATATATAAAACATATAAATATCTTATTAAGATTATAAAACACTCTTTAAAAACACTCTTATAAGTGTGTTTCTATCTAAATCAAATTTGTATCTTAAATCAAATTTTTATACAAATTTGTATCTAACTTTTTCAATACACTTTTTCCTTTCTGCCTTAGAGATTGGAAAATTCGTAGCCATGGCACAGACATCCAAATGTGACCCCGACTGTGGGTCACAGTATCAGTCACTCTTATAAGAGTGTTTTTTACACAGTCTTGCATATATAACATAGCTGTATAAATATACATAAATAAATATACAAAAAGATGATTAGTGTAAAACTTTCCACAGCTTTAATTTTTCATCATTTACTGTATTACTATTTTAATAAGGCAATGTTAGTTTATAATGTATTTACCATCTTAATACACCCTGAAAGTTTTATCAGTAAAGAGACAAATTATTTTCTTGTTTACAGTTTTTATCTTTCCATAACAAATACACCTAGTGTTTTTTAACATTTACGCGATTTCGAATAATAATAATAATTACAATTCTTAATCAAAATAATTCACTTTGTTTTCTTCAAACACCAGGAGAAAACTAGAAGAAAGGAAAACATGTTGTCAGTTTTTTTTCCCATGAGAAAACATTCTATTTTTTGTAAATTTTAAGGTGGCAAAAATAGCCACAATTGAAATGGCATTCAAATCCATTTGTACAAAGTGTAACATGAATAAATTAAAAGTTGGTTCAGCAATCACTGTTTTGCATCATTTTGATATTTAGAAATTGCAAAGTATTCAAAGACTCTATTTTAATCACTTCAATGTATCATTTGTCTAAGGTTTTAAGTCAATAAACAACCTGTATTTACAAGTTTCATTAAGTTAATTTCTTAATAGTTATATTGTAATAGAATTTCAGAGGCATAAACTCTTTTAAAATATTCTGTTTTACAGTTCTATAGAGGTAAACATAATTTTACATCCTTTTGGAATCTTAACTATAAGGAAACACTCATATCTTACTTGACTCATAGAATCAGTATCATTCATTCAGAAGATATTTATAAGTTAATCCTGTTCTCAACATAATAGGATGTTGTGATTACACTTATTTTTATAGTAAAACCAGGGAGAAAAAAATAGTTTTCTTTAAAATCAATATTATTAGCTGACTTGCATTTGTCTAATTGAATATCTTATTATCTGAAATAGTACCTGAACTGTTATCTTGATATAATCTATAAACCTCTGATTTAATAAACTAATTTTTAAGGTCTCCAAATCATGCCAAAAGTTGAGTACACTGATCTTATTTTGGGAAACTTTGTAACCAGGTTCATAATTTAAAATAAAAAAAAAATACAGCTAAATTTTTATCCCCTTTGAGTTAAAACTTTCAGAAGGAATAAATTTAAAGAGGAATAAACATATGAATTTAATATTTTCTCTTTATTTGTAGTAAGAATGTGAAAACTATTTTTTATCGACCTTTTTATTTACAATATTATAATAACAAGTATCTTGGACAAAATGGTGGATTTTTTTCCCCCTTGAATGTTTCTTTAACTTCTAAATTATTATCATCGTCTTGCCAACAGGCATTTTCAACAAAATTTTTCTATCCTTTGGCCTCACCAAAAGAATGGACAAAATGGTAGAGGTAAGGGAGAAGTGAAATGTAAGAACCAAGGACAAGTATACATTTTTCAACAAACTTTTTTTTTCCGCCTTAGAGATTAGAATATTCTTAACAACGGCACAGACATCTGAAAGTGATCCAGATTTAAGGTCCACATTTCAGTCAGTACCTTTTATAAATGGAGATTATCATTATTATTATTATTATTTTTTTGAGACAGAGTCTCGCTCTGTCACCAAAGCTGGAGTGCAGTGGCACGATCTCCTCACTGCAACCTCCGCCTCCCTGGTTCAAGCGATTCTTCTGCCTCACCCTCTCGAGTAGCTGGGACTACAGGTGTGCACCAACATGCCCAGATAATTTTTTATATTTTTGGTAGAGACAGGGTCTCGCCATGTTGGCCAGGCTGGTCTTGAACTCCTGACCACAGGTGATCCACCACCTCGGCCTCCCAAAGAGCTGGGATTACAAGTGTGAGCCACCACGCCCAGCCTATAGTGGAGATTCTATTCGTAAGGAATATTGGTTTTATCTATTCCCAGGACAATAAATTTAAAAACTAATTCTGACAGCCTTGATGAAATAATCAGAGCTCAGAAAAGTTATCTTGAGATTCTGGGAAGGGTGGCCTTCCTTCTGAGCCAGTAGAGATGCAAGGTGGCAAGGATGTATCCCCTATTCGTTATCAAGTGAAGGGCTCTGGTCCATTGAAGCAAGAGTTTCAGACAAATTTTGGTGGACTTTGTAGTTTTTCTGAAGTCCATCAGTTAGTGACCACCAGAAACATGCATGTAGTCAAACAAATATAGATTTATTAACTTGCCATAGAAAACAAGAATTGATCAGAGAAACGATAAAGTGTTTCAGTAAGAGGGAGTTATGAGACATTTATTACAGATGATGATTTATCATAGGCAGTTTTTTTAAAGTTCAAAGGAAAGTTTGTCTTGTATTGAGACCAATCGGCAATTGTAATAAATAGGAGACTGGAGGTCTTAACAATTTTTAGGAAGAGGCAGAAGGAACAACCTAGGACAATAGTTTTTACAAGAAATGGAAGAGTAGTCATGCATGTCAGCTGGAAGAGAGGTTTATTTGATTATTTACATAATGGCATCTATCCTTGTTTCTGTGTTCAGATGGGATTAAAGAGTAATTTTGCCTGGCTGGGCCTGGTGGCTCACGCCTGTAATTTCACCACTTTGGGAGGCCGTGGCAGTCGGATCACCTGAGGTCAGGAGTTCAAGACCAGCCTGGCCAACATGGTGAAGCCCCATCTCTACTAAAAATACAAAAATTTAGCCGGGAGTGGTGGAATCCACCTGTAATCCCAGCTACTCAGGAAGCTGAGGCAGGAGAATTGCTTGAATCTCGGAGGCGTAGGTTGCAGTCAGCCAAGATCGTGCCACTGCACTTCAGCCTGGGGTGACAGAGCAAGACTCTGTCTCAAAACAAAACAAGAAAAAAGAGTCATTTTGCTTTTATCTTATTCTACCGTGGTCAAAATGAGTCTGTCTGATTATTGTTGATCTTCTTCAGAAACATTTTTAGATCAAGAAGAACATCATGGCCTAGCTGTTGGTTGCCAAAGGCCAGCAGTTGGCCATCATGGCACTGTTGTTGCTATTGTTCTTTGTTTGTTTCCCTTCTCAGTATTGGTATTCTCCAACTATGAAATGTGTTTCAGTAAAATATGTTGGCTTAAATGGCAACTAGATTAATTAGTGAAGAGATAAAAGATTCAGGTATAAGATGGATAAGGGAAAATAAAATCCTATGGTTTTTTTACTTAAGAGTATCAGTATAAACTTACAATGTATTTAAAGTTTTTAAAAATGCATATTTCATAGTTTATCCACTCTATAGGAACAGAAACAAGGGTCAGGTCAGCTTCAGCACCTTTAGTGGTCAGGTTCTGGTCTTCATATGCCATTTTCCAATTACCAGAACCAGGGGTCCTTTGAGATATGGTTGACTCTAGACCTGGGGCAGAAAATAAACAAGAAAAACATTGAATTTCTTGTCATATCACAAGCAAAGATGCTCTCAATTACAAGTGAGGATGTGTCAAAAAAAAACCTCATTTTTAATTGACTATGACCAATGAAAGCACAATTGAGCATCAGATTTCAGATCCTTGACATACAATCCTCTCCCAGAAGTTAAACCAGATCAATGGTTGTATTAATTAGCCTTGCATAGCCTTCCAGTTAGAAACAGATAACTGAATTTAATACTCCTCCACTCAATATGTTTTATTATGCTCTGGTCTGGGTTTGCTTATTTTGAGAATAGACTGAGGCTTTTTACTGATGGAGAGCCACGTTTCACTGAATGCTTATTAAAGAACTTTCCAAAGCTTTGCCTTTTAACCCAAAGACTTCAGCTTCCATGCTAAATCATCAGAAAAAATAAAGCACACACACAATAGATTTAAACTAAAATCTGACAGCGTTCTTGAGTGCTGTGGAACTCTTTTGGCCTAAACCTGTTGACATAAGCTCTTCCTTTATGAGTTAATGCACCTTGAATTTGGGGATTTCAATCTAAATATTTGTCTGCCCTAATGCAAAGTGGTATGGCTAAATACTGTGAAATATTCATACACTTTATACAGATTTATAATCACCAGGTAGAAAAACCATTTACAAGACATTCAAAATATCTTCTTAAGTAGATTTTGCATAGCCTGAAATAAAAAGATTTAGTCTTCTGATAGAGACATCCCAGAGTGCCACTAAGTCTCAGTGGAAAACACCTCATTAGGAACTCTTAAAAACTATCACAAACAATAAAACCCCAAGAGGTTGATCCCTGGATTCATGTTTCTTCATCAAAAGGCATTTGCTCTCCTCTACAGATCATTGTATTCCATTCTTTCATGAAATATTAAGATGAGGATTCTTAGGAACCTTCCAGAATATGTTTCTGGAATCTTCCAGAAGCATATGAACTTTAGAAGAGAAAAGCTAAACCAGGATCCTTATACCAAGCAGATGTTGAAATGAGGTCTACAACACCTGAGATGATGGAAACAGATTAATTTTCTGACATATTTTCTCCTGTTAATTTTTTTCCTTTTGGTTTACCACTTATCTATTATCATTCAGTGGTATCCCTCAGCAACCTCCTGAAGTTTTTAAAAATATGCTTGCACCTATATTTATCTCTTTATTTTGAATCCTCTGTGGTGTTCTTCTACTATCTAAGAAAAGGCAAGACTCATATGCACTTTTCCACAACCACAGCTACTACTCTGAATTCAAATAATTACTGAATTTGTCATCCCTCATTTGATGACCTCTGACAAAATTTAATTCTGATAAGGTCTTAGAAGTTAGATTTCTCTGATATTCTCTCTCTAAATTTTATATTTCCCTAACATTATTAATCCAATGCTTTACTATTATCAACATTTTATTTTGACTATACGTAGATAAAATATTTCTACAGAAATCATTACAGCAAACCAGACCAGACTAACCAGCAGTAGAAACACAGATTGATTAATTCTGTCAGATCCACTCTGTTAACTCCAGATCCTTTTTTAAAACTTTTATTTTAGATTCAGGGGTACATGTGCAAGTTTGCTATATAGGTAAACTCATGTCACGAGGGTTTGTTGTACAAATTATTTTGTCACCTAAGTGTTGAGCCTAGTACACGTTAGTTATTCTTCCTGATCCTCTCCCTCCTTCCACCTTTCACCCTCTCATAGGCTCCAGTGTCTATTGTTTCCCTCTATGTGTCCGTATCTTCTCATCATTTAACTCCCACTTATTAGTGAAGAGGACATAGTATTTAGTTTTCTGTTCTTGTGTTAGTTTGCTAAGAATACTGGCCTCCAGCTCCATCCATGTTCCTGCAAAGGACATGATGTCATTTTTTTTAGGACTACATAGTATACCATGGTGTATCTGTACCACATTTTCTTTATCCAGTCTACCACTACCATTGATGGACATTTATTGATTCTTTGTCTTTGCTATTGTGAATAGTGCTGCAATGAACATTGGCATGCATGTGTCTTTATAACAGAAGGATCTATAATCCTTTGGGTATATACCCAGTAATGGGATTGCTGGGTTGAATGATAAGAATTCTTTTCAGTAACTAATCGCCTTCACTCAGAAAATCTACCTGTTTTAAGAGACCAATATTTACCTCACTACTCTTAATGACAAATATAATCACGCTCCCAATACCATCTGAGGCCCACTAACACACTAAGGTACTACTTCTCTGGTAGACAATATTTCTGCATCAAGTAGTTAAACTTTATTTGCCTATGTGCTTTCATAAACAATTACAGAGAGAAAAATAGGTAATAAGACAGATACACTGGTAGATGAAGAGAGATAAGGATTATAGATAATCATATTTTGGTAAAATATCCATGATGAGATGAAAGGAAATGTCCACCTGTCTCTCTAGAACTGACCCCCATGAATGTGGGATGTGTTTAGGTTTTCATGACTTGGCTTTCAGGCCCTTATTTACAGTCTACTGTGAATCCTAATAACCATTTTATTGAAGCATTTGCCTGCATTGGTTCGTGCATTTTTTTTCAAGAGTCTTAAAGGCTAGTAGTTGTCAACAACTGTGAATAATCTCAGATTTACTCCCACCTCAAGTTAGCAAGCTAGCTTGCCACAGTTTTGTGGACACTGGCAGAACACAGGAGACTTCTTAGTCACAAATGAAGAGCTCTTTACTCATAGCACAACAAATAGAAAAAGTTTCATATCCACATCAGTTCTCTTTGCATCTCAAGCTACAGAGGTAAGCCCACATGGATGTGACACAGGCTTTTGGTTTCCATCACAGCTGAAAAATCTTGAGTTGGGGAAACACCAAACTTTTATAGAGGCTGCAAGTAAACCTTTCCAAACTCTGCTTCAGAAGAAGACATTATCTTTCTTCTACTGTATAGAAAAAACAAATCCTCATTCTGCTATGAAGGTGGATACTATGTTTATATATCCAGGCATTTTGCTAGAAAAGTATCCTTTAAAATAAAGTGCAAGACATACAAAATGACAAAAGTTGTCCATGCCTCTTCTTGTGTGCATGCAGAAAGCAAGGGTCCCATGGAGCACAAGTGTTGTTTCCCAACACTTTTGTGATGCTGTCATGGGACACTATTCAAAACATAATCCTGCAGCAAAAGAAATGATAACATGTAATTGTCCCAACTGCAGAAGTTCCCTGAACAATCCGTAAACCATAACATTTGGGGAACATTGCAGAATTGAACACTACATACAGATTATTGTCCTCTGGCCTTGCTTCATATATCTTTGCTTAAGGCAGGAATAATGGGAGACGGAGAACTAACAGATGGCAGATGGAAACTAAGGGGTAGACCATGATGTTTCTTTTTGAGCAGAAGCAATTTCCAGAGGACATTAACAAAAATGAGACAGGGTCACTCCTTGACTATGGAAGAACAACATAGAAACAAGATCACTCTGTAATCACATCTAAACTGATCCCTATACAATCAATTTGACAACCTAATCTTTTCCTCTTTCAGCTCATATGAGTTACTATAGTTTTAGTAACAATGATAAGCTTAGCTCACCTATATTTCTCTAGTCTTTTAATAAAATATATTAAGACAATCAATCACTGAATTGTCCCAGTGTGATAGCAACTGATTTATTTTCTTGGACTCCATCCCAAAATCTTTAATAAAAGCCCCAATCGCATAATAAACACTTCCCACCTCCCTTACTGAGATGCTCCATAGGTCCTCTACTTCTTTGCTGTAGAAATTTATTTATTTATTTAGTTGGTTGCTTTTAAATTTTGTGAGTACATAGTAGATATATATTTATGGGGTACATAAGATGTTTTCATGCAGGTATGCAATGCAGAATAATAATCACATCATAGAGAATGGGTTATCATCCCCTCAAGCATTAATCCTTTGTGTTACATCAATCCAATTATACTCGTTTAGCCATTGAAAAATATACAATTAAATTATTATTGCTAGAGTAACCTGTTGGGTTATCAAATAAAAGGTCCTATTTATTCTTTCTAGTTACATTTTATATCCGTTAATCACCCTCATTTCCACCGCAAACATCCCCTGTCCCACTGCCCTTCCCAGCCTCTGATAACCATCCTTCTACACTCTATGTCCATGCCTTCAATTGTCTTGATTTTTAGATCCCACATATAAATGAGAGAACGCAATGTTTGTCTTTCTGTGCCCGGCTTATTTCACTTAATGATCTCCAGTTCCATCTATGTTGTTGGAAATGACAGGATCTCATTCTTTTTTATGGCTCAATAGTACGCCATTGTTTGTGTGTAGCAAATTGTCTTCATCTGTTCATCTGTTGATGGACACTTACGTTGCTTCCAAATCCTGGCTACTGTGAACAGTACTGCAACAAGCATGGGAGGACAGATAACTCTTTGATATATCAATTTGCTTTCTTTTGGGTATATAGCTAACAGTGGGTAGCTCTATTTTTAGTGTTTTGAGGAACCTCCATACTATTCTCTGCAGTGGTTTTACTAATTTACATTCCCACCAACAGTGTACAAACTTTCCCTTTTCTTCACATCCTTGCCAGGATACTGTTACAATTTAATAAGCCTTGTTTTGTTTGAATTTAGGTATATTCTTGGTGAAGTTTGTCTAGCTGGCTTCAAAATATCAACACTCTCAGTGACAATACGATTACTAACCTGCATTGAGATTAATTTTTTAATTTGCATTTTGAGTATTTTGCTTCTCAGTGTATACATCTCTGTGGATATCATGTCATTTTACTGGTTTACTTAAGTGATCTGACATAGTTCATTTCTGTATGATTATGCCACTAGCTTCATATATAGTTGGTTCCTTAGTTGCATTTGCTTTTAATTTGCAGGGATTGCTTTTGCAAAATAAATTAATGTTGTGTTATAATTTTATAAAACATTACTATGGTTCCTAAAACAAATCTAAAAACAAATAAGTTCTGAAACATAAATCATATTTTGTGCCCTTTATCTAGTTTCCTCCTTTCTCCATATGTAGGAATGGTAGCATATTAGATGCCATTTTGTCCATTGTGCATGTTTTAACTTATCTTCTGGTCATCATTCTAGAAGTATTTCACAGTGATGTTTAGAACTTCAAAGCACACTACTTGGTTTTCTATAGAGTTCCGTGGTTTATTTAATCAGATTTTTAATGCTGGACAATCAGTTATTTCCTACGTTTTGCTACACAATTAGTGCTGCAGCAAAGACTGTGCATATGTCTATATATTGTTACAGGTTAATCTTCAAAATAGAATTAACTATATAGGCCAGGTGCAGTGGCTCATGCCTGTAATCTCGGCACTTTGGGAAGCTGAGGTGGGAGGACTGTGCCAGCCCAGGAGTTTGAGACCAGCCTGGGCAATATAGTGAGACCTTGTTCCTACAAAAATTTAAAAACTTAGCTGAGGGTGGTGGTGCATGCCTGTAATCCCAACTACTCAGCAGGCTGAGGTGGGAGGATTGCTTGAGCCCAGGAGCGGGAGGCTGCAGTGAGCTGTGGTCACACTACCACACCCCAGCCTGGGCAACAGAGCAAGGCCTTATCTGAAAAAAATAAAAATAAAGCAGTGAACTTGAGAAAATAGTATACATGAAAGTTGAGGATCTGAGAAATCATTGCCTCAAAACTATTTAAATCCACATTCCTTAAGGAAAGTCTTCATGAATTGCCAGATTACACTTACTAAACTCTGCACAACTTGGTTTGTCAACTGAAAAGAGATAAGTTCTTTGGAAAAATCTAAAAGGCTGAACATCCCAGATCATGATAAAGTGGCACCAGGCAAGAAACAGAGCAGTAAGAACAAAGACAGAGCCTGTCAAGCTGCTGGACGTGGCCTCATTGATGTTCCATTATGTTTTCCAATTGTTCGAACAGGTTGCTGCCAGCTTGCTTGGGATCAGTCCCTCATGGGGGACTGATCATGCTCACTGTGATCATTTTCAGTGACTCAGGCAGACTTCTTCCAGTCCTGATGAGGATCCAAAAAAAATAAAAATGAAATCCCCAACTCAATGTTTAAAAAAACAGGGTTCAAAGGAAAGTAAGTTAAGAAGGAAAATGTAAGAGACTCTAAATTTAGAGCAAATGAAGTTCTAGTGTCTGGGATTAGCAAAGACTAAATTTTCTACAGGCTGGCTGTTTTCTTTTCACATGCCACCTCTGTAAGGTGTCAATTATATAGATGACTTTTATCTCTTGAAGCTGGGGTCTAATATCTAATTGAAGTCTGCTGACTAATTGACAGTTTTGTTTTATGAAAGAAATAGAAATAATCTCAGATAAAATGTAATAAATAAATACCAAAAATCCTTCTTACAATTTGGTCTACATTGCAAAACTATTAAAGATGAATTGATTTCCATTTTCTTGCTACTATAAGTGTGAATGCTTTTGTATTTATTAAGAATATGGAATATTACTTATAATTTATTTTTCATATGTAATGAATTGATATGTTTTGACTGTGTCCCTACCCAAAATCTCATCTTGAAGTGTAATCTCCATAATCCCCATGTGTCAAGGGTGGGACCAGGTGGAGGTAATTGAATCGTGGGAGTGGTTTCCCCCATGCTGTTCTCATGATAGTGAGTGAGTCTCACAAGATCTGATGATTTTATAATCATCTGGCATTTCCCCCGCTTACACTCACTCCATCCTATCACTCTGTGAAGAAAGTCCCTGCTTCTCCTTTGCCTTCTACCATGATTGTACGTTTCCTGAGGCCTCCCCAGCCATGCAGAACTAAGAGTCAATTAAATATCTTTCTTTATAAAGTACCCAGTCTTGGGTATTTCTTTGTAGTAGCGTGAGAACGGACTAATATATGAATGTTAACATTCCTCTTTTTTTTTGCTTGATAAAGCCTTTATGTATCTTTTAAGTATCAAATAGTATTTCTTAGAAGCCTTCTGAAAATATTATGCCTGAATATTGATGCTATACAAAGAGATAATAATGTCTCCTTTGAGAATTTATGTTCACAAGGCATCCCTCACAAGAATTTGAAGCCTTATTTTGTATACCTATGTAAAATACTTTAATTTAAGTGATATTAGAGTAATATGTCCACCCCCAGGGAAAGTGACAAAAAGAAAATTCAAACAATTCAATGTCAATCAGACTTCAATACTATTGTAAGAAAAAATTTCCAAGTAATACCTATTCACAGTAGAAAATAACAAATTCCACAAGAAATGAAAGTACTATGAATGAGAAGCTGTAGAAACTACACACAAAAGATGACTACTGAAGACAATAACTTCAGATGTTAAAATAAATCAGACAATGAAATATAATAATATTATAACATCAATATTATTAGAACATGAAATATTATTATGAATAACAAATACATGGATACTTGAAAATATGAAAATGGTGGATGATTAGAAGTGAGCATATGTAACATACAAATAATTTGAGTTTGAAATAAAATATTAGAAGAAATAGAACTAGTAATACAATTTAATCAAAGTAATGATAAAAAAAGAGAGAAAGGAAGGAAGGAATGAAGGAAAGAAGGAAGGAAAAGCAAAAAAAGAGGGAAAAGAAAGAGAGAGAGAGAATGAAGGAAGAAGGAAGGATGAAAAGAAGGAAGGAAGGAAAGAAAGAAAAGAAATTCTCCTATTAGGCATAGCGAGTAAAATTGCAGTAAACCAAAGATAGAGAGAAAGTCTTAGAAGCAGCTGAGGTGAGAGAAGATTGCCTGCAAAGGAACTTCAATTAACTGAAGGGCTGACTTTTCAAGGACAAGACCAGAATTGAAGGAAATTGTTATATCTTTAATGTATTGAAAGAAAACACATTTCAACCTAGATTGTTGTAATCAGTGAAACCATCTCTCAAGAATAAGAACAGAACAAGGACAGAACAAGCACAGAATAAAGACATTATCTGAAAAACAAAAACAGAAATTTCCCCCACCTCAAATAGCCAACAAAAATGAACGGCGATAATGAGTTTCAAAAACTGGATGAAAAGAATTGAGAAATAATAATAAGCTCCCAAATTAGAAACACAAGAAACAGAAAATAAGGAGAAAAGAAAAACACATAATACTAGAAATAAATCAAAATACTGAATTCAAGAGAAGTGCCTTAAACATAAAACCAAATATGTTAAATAAATTACGTATATTATACTAGGTAACTATTAATTAAATTAATACTGCTATTCAAATATTATATATAAATTACACTAGATAAGTGTTTATTAAATTAATGCTGCTCTTCAAAAATTGCATATAATATTACACTAGGCAAGAATTAATGTTGCTATTGAAAAACTGTGTATAATATTACACTAGGTAAGTATTAATTAAATTAATGCTGATATTCAATTATCAATTGTTTGATAATATTCAATTATCAAACAAATTAGAAATAAAGCATAAGTGTTAGCTTTATATGGATCACTACTATAAAGTAAAAAGATTCAAAAAGCCAGGAGCATATATATGCCCTTCTAATTATTGGAATCATACAGAAAACAGTCAGTAACAAACACATATCTAGATCATTTATATATGGTTGAAATGTAAAGCACACTTCTAGTTAATGATCAAAATAAAATTACAATTTAAAAAAGAGTTAAAATTAAGCAATAAGGAATCTTCTATCAATCAAAACTTACAAATGATTTCACTAGACTATCAGATTATTTTGATAAGGACAATAGCTAGTGATTATAAGGATCTAGAGCAATGTAAAAATGTGTAGTGAAATAAGCTCGACAAAAAGAACATACGTTACATAATTCTTTGGAAATTGATTTCCAAAACAAATAATAGTGTCCTTTGGACAGCATGGCTTAACTCTGAGAGGACTTCGGGGAGCCAGCTGGGGTACTGGAGGTGTGTTATACCTTGATCTGTGCTGCAGTTACATAACTGTAACATTTAAAAATATTCATCAAGTTGTGCACTTCGCATCATGCACTTTGCTTTATAAAATTATGCCTCAACAAGAAAAAAAACAAAAATTTCAATGGCTGCAGTATAGTGGTCTTACAAAAAATTTTTAAGAAAAATCTAAAGCAGAACATAGACGAGAAAATTCAATCAACCTACAAAAGAAATGAAGAAAAAAATCGCAATTAATGATCTTAGCATCCCATTTTAATGTAAAAGCAGTCAGCAGAAAACAACAAAAGAAATTTAAATAATAATAATAATTGGCAATTAGAGAATAAAAATACAGATTTTTTTTTTGGTAAAGACTAAAACAGTACTAAAAATACCCAAGTGTGAGTCCCAAGAGTAAGACAAAGTAGATAAGGAACAAGAAATATATTTTATATAATATAGGAGGCCATTACTTCTAATTTAAAGTGATTAAAATCTTTGAGTATTTGGTGAAAAAAATTTAAAAGCTAAGATGGGAAAAATATATTACTTATCTAACCTGACTCAAAATGAAATAGTAAAGAAAAATAATCTTGTAATCATTAGTAAAATTGCACCTATAGTCAAAATCTTTTCACAAAGAAGATGACAGGCTGAATAATTTTAAGGGCAAGTTCCACCACACATTCAAGTAGCAGATTTTATGTGATCTATTCCCCTAGAACTTCTAAGGGGGAAAAAAAAGATAAACAGAAGTGTAAGTAGTTTGCATTTGCATCTTGATCCTAAAGATTAGAAGATAAAAACGCAAACTATTTACACTTCTGTTTATCTTTCTTTTTTTCCTTAGGAGTTCTAGGCAGTTTACTAAGAAATGAATTATATGCATGAAACAAAATTCTAGTTATTTGCAATTGGATTGTTATGTGCATAGCAAATGCAACAAATTTATAAATAAATTATTAGGGTTAATAAAAAAGTTTATAATGGCTGATTAACCAAAAAAAATACATGGCAATAATTATTTCTTTTTTTTCTAATTATTTCCAAGGAGGTTTCCATATCTTGTCAACATCAACATTTTTACAAGAGCAAATCAAATTCTGAATTATGTTAGATGATGTAAAAGGCCTTTGGGAACAGAGTTGTAAAATTTCATCAAACAATATGGGTGAGATATACCATCAAATATTATAAAGATTCCAGTTGAATCAAAAGATACATGAATGAATATAATTTAGTACGTTTATATAATAAAATATCATAGGGCAATAAAAGTGAATAAACTATAGATGTTTGCATGGAAAACTTCTAGGAGAAATAATATAGTTTTGAATAATAAAAGCAAATCACAGAATGATACATATTGCAAGTATTTTTGTAAAGTGCAAAAACAGGCAAAAATTTTAAAATAAACACCTTTTAAGGATATAGGCCTATATTTTTTGTGTATTTTTAGCTGTTTTCAATATTCAAAACTCAAAATTTTATAATTTTTTTTTCTCATGAAACTCTCTAGAACACACATAACTCCTTCCATTTAGAGACTCCATCACCTCTACAGTGACATACTTCCTCACCCATCTAGCTGAGGGGTAAAAACAGCAAGGAAGAACACACCCACTTCTTAACCACTCCGTTCCCAAAGTGCCACATATCACTTCCACTCATTGTCCAGTCAAGCAAGAACTTGTCATGTCGCCCCACCTAAATACAAGGGAGCTCGGGGGCAAGTTCTCACAGAGGCAGCTGCTTCCTAGTGACAACTTTACAACAAACCAGGGAGCTTACACTTCTTGTGTAAGTTAAACAACTTTGTTATAAGATGCAAATGAAAAACTTAAATGAAAAACTTAGGAGGGGATATAAATGTAAACTTAGTGTTATTTTGAGACGAAGCGGGAAATGAAGTCATGGTAAGAAGAGTGCACCTTTCAAAGCTACAGATAGTATCATACTTTATAAGTTTGAGGTAAGTATATTAATGTTTATATTATTATTATTGAAAATGTGCAAAATTTATATGACCATCATATCTTTATATACAGCCACCCTTTGGTATTTGTGAGGGATTGGTTCCAGGACCTCCCGTGGATGCCAAAATCTGTGGATGCTCAAGTCTGTGATATAAAACGACCTAGTATCTGCATGTAACCTATACAGATCCTCCTATACTTTAAATTGTCTCTACATTACTTATAATACCTAAAACAATATAAATGCTATGTTATTAGTTGTCAATCTATACTGTTTAGGGAATAATGACAAGAAAAAAAAAGTCTGGACAGATACAATCTTTTTTTTAAAAAAAAAATTTTGACCCAGAGTTGGTTGAATCCTCTCATGAGAAATCCTCTGATGTGAAATCCTCTGATACAGAGTGCTGACTGTAAATATACATATATAATATACATATACATACATGTTTGTGAGCTCTGTGTGTGTGTGTGAGATTGATAACAAAAGATGAAAAATAAGATAGAAGTGAATGCACTTGACCCTTGAACAATGCAAGGATTAGGTCCCCGATCTTCACAGAGTCCACACACATGCTTAACCTTTGACTTCCCCAAAACTTAACTGTTTTTAGTCTACTTTTGCCCAGACACCTTAAGGATGGCATAAACAGTTGATCAACACATAAAAAGACTAGTATCTACATATATTCATGACATACCAAATTTTTCTTGTTTTTTTATATTCCTGGGCTATGTAGTTTTTCAAATTGTCACAATCTTTAAAAGTTGTTTCAATTGATTTAGTGAAAAAAAAAAACCACATTCTAGGAAATGAACAGTTCAAACCCATGTTGTTCTCATATCAACTGTACAATGTTAATTATGATAATCAATAGTATCTATTGAGTACTACTTATTATGGACCAGGAATTGTTTGAATACTTTAAATGGTTAGCTTTGCTAATCATCACAGCACATCTATAATAGTAGCACAATTCCCATCATATAAAAGATGAAATAATGTATAACTTGCCAAGGTCACAGAGTTTGTATGAGCCAAAAATTGTAAAGCTAGTAAGTGACAAAGATAGATTTTTTAATTTTTAAATTTGTAAAAAATTTAAAAGTTGAAATCCTGGTGAATGGGAATAGGAATGTTTGTTCTGCATTTTTTTAAATTTTTGTCTCAAATAATTTTGCAAAAAAAGAAATACTATACAACAATGATAGACTGGATTAAGAAAATGTGGCACATATACACCATGGAATACTATGCAGCCATAAAAAATGATGCGTTCATGTCCTTTGTAGGGACATGGATGAAATTGGAAACCATCATTCTCAGTAAACTATTGCAAGAACAAAAAACCAAACACCGCATATTCTCACTCATAGGTGGGAATTGAACAATGAGATCACATGGACACAGGAAGGGGAATATCACACTCTGGGGACTGTGGTGGGGTGGGGGGAGGGGGGAGGGATAGCATTGGGAGATATACCTAATGCTAGATGATGCGTTAGTGGGTGCAGCGCACCAGCATGGCACATGTACCCTAAAACTTAAAGTATAAAAAAAAAAAAAAGACTGATTTTTTTTTCAGAGAATTTAGATCAAGACAATATATAGGGAAACTCAGGGGCTAAGCAAAATCAAGAGTGAGAGATGTTAGTGGTTTATAGAAATTTAGTGGTGGAAAGAAAATGGAAAAAATATGGGACATATTTTGATTGCACAAAAAATAAATTTTTCATTGATCAAGTATGGAGTGGTTTTTCAAAAAAGGAATGGCAGACAAGAATTCTTGGTCTCATGAAAAACAGGATGTAAGTTTCAGTCCTGCTTAGGCATAATGAAAAAAATGTAATGAAGAATTTTAATAAAGAATAGTATTTGGCTATAAAATCAAAGTTTAGTTGGTTCTGAGGTTCTTATAAGACACTAAAGTCTTACAAGTGCTCTCAGAGGTCAGTCTGGGATCATGTGCATATATAATATATTTAGCTATTTAAGGCTGGTATAGTGTGTTGTAAATTTGGGAGACATCAATATACTGATTCTGCTTAATCGTCGTGGGACAAGATGTGATTTCCTATATGGCAGTTTTAAATAAAAATTTTAGATTTATTTTTAAAGAGCACCCTGGATAAAGCAGTAGGTCATTCTTTAAAAATGGATGCCAGGGCAAGAGCGGAGTTAGAAATGAAAAACTGAAAAGAGTCAGCCTATGATGTAGTAAAGAAGCCAAGAATGTATGCTGGAAATAGAAGGAATATAAATAAATGTTTTCAAATTGTGGTAGTGCTAAAATGTAACAAGTGATACTAAGTGACTGAGTGGGATGATGGCAGAGAATATATTATTAAAATTGGCAATTGGAAAGTTCTTGGTGACCTTGATAAGACTTTTCACAGAGTCGTCAGCAGAGAAACCTGACTGTAGTGGGTTAGAGAGTGGGAGGTGGCAACAGTAGAGATAGAAATAAAATATGACATCTTCAAGAAATTTTACTGTAAATGACATGGATGCAGCTGTAGGCCATAATCTTCAGCGAATTAACACAGAAACAGAAAATTAAATACTGCATGTTCCCACTTACTAGTGGACGCTAAACACTAATTAAGCACGGACACAAAGATGGAAAAAATAGACACTGAGGATTATAAAAGAGTTGGGGGAGGGAGGATAGAAAGGATTGGGAATCTACCCATCAGGTACTATATTCACTACTTGGGTGACAGGATCATTAGAAGCCCAAACCTCAGCATTATACAATGGAACAAACTTGCAACAGGTGCCCCAAGTCTAAAGTAAAATTTTTAAGAAATATAAAAACAATAAGTTGTTTTTAATAACAAAAAGAATTTTGCTGTAAATTGATACAGAAAATTACAGCAAAATAATTTGCTAGAGATGGACAAGCAAATGAAGGGGGGCATTGGTTGCAAGGAAGGAATTATAGTCGTTTGCAAGATGACTGGAGTACTGAACTAGGAGGGTGAATTCAATGAATCATAAAAAAGAAAGGGTGTTTGTGTAAACGAGGGTATTCAGTAGGCAAAGTAGATGGGATCCCAAGCATAAGAGCTGCAGGCCAAAGTTAGGAAGACTGAGGCATTTCCTACATCATGTGGAAAGACAACTGTGGGCAAAGAGAATGTGGCTTCCAAGATTTAGTGTTAGCTTTTGTCATCTTCCTCTTCTATTTTATTGGTAAAGTGAAATTTGAGGAAGGGTTATCAGATGGCAAATAGGGGTATAGTGGAGGCAAATGGATGGGCAGTGAGAATAATTTACAAAATAATCATCTAAGAAAGTGTGAAATCAAATTTCACCAAGAAATATAATAGTCTGTTTGAGAAATAACTGCCAATCTAAAATCTGTGTTCATGGTTCATGATTTTAAAGTGAGAACAGCCCACATTGTTGTGGGATTTCTTCAACTTGGGTTGCAAACATGGAGTGAAGGTTAGTTTGGTTTCGCTAATAATAATTTTGCCAGTAATTAGGAAGGTGAGAGAAGGGGACAAGGGAGTTGAGGGTATTTGCAATGACTGATTTTAACAAAAGATCATGAAATCTAAACTGAGTACGTGAAGAAACATCCAAAGTTGGATGAGTACAAGTTAAAAAACAAAAAGGATAAGATTTATAGATTGGGATGTCCAAATGCATTAAAGGGTAAGTGAAGTGGAGCTATAAAGAGCTAAAAAGATAAGAAGTGTTATTTCTAATTAGACTAAATGAAAAAGATAATCTCTCGCTTTGTCTTGAATTATGAACATTTTATCAGGCAATTCTGCCTTTATCAGTTTAAAAGCAAACTATTTGCTGTAATTGGTTTTTAATTTTTCTTTCTGGTTTCTAGTTGTGATTGACCCTCAAACCACTCCCTCAAAAAAATGTCAGATTCTGTCTTTCAAAGTTGGACAACAATCCTTCTTAGAATTTCTGCACATACAAAAGTTTAAAACAGAAAATGAGGTAACATTTTAAAATTATATTTTAAATTCGTTTCTTCCTAGTGTATTAGCGGTAGAGATTCAAGCACAATACCCTTAAATAAAAACATGCTGTGATCACATTTAACTATCTGAAAGAGGAATTTTTTTTTCTCTACTTTAATCATCTTCAATCTCCCCATGAATATTGTGTCTTTAAGCAATATGTCTTTATACTAACTGTGAAAATAAATTTCATATTCTATATTGACATGTAGAGCTTTTAGTAAATGGACTAAGAATAAAATTTAATACTATGATTTTAAGAATTAAAGAATGAGGAAAGAAACATGAAAGGTGGCTTGCCAGTTAAGATAGGTTTATTTTAGAGAAAACAAACCCGAGAGGGGCATCTGGCTGAGTTAAGTTAGAGGCACAATCTCTAACAGACTAAGAGTTTTTCAGGATTCAGGATGGGAGAGTTTATTAGAAGCTTGAATTTCTTCTGAGGCTTTTTTCTGTGTTTTGTTTTGTTGTTGTTGTTGTTGTTGTTGCACTTATCTGGGAGGGAGGGTTGTATGTTTGTTCCCATACATCTTTCTGCAGCTGCAGGCATACCCCTCGAGTCTGCTTTTATCTTCCTTATCTCAGTGCACCTGAAGGGAAATAAATGTGTTTATTAAGGCCCACTGTTTTACTGGGGCCCGTTGTATGAGGGTGAAGTTTGACAGTTACCCAAGAGACTTTCCCTGCACCTTCTTCTGTGCCTGAGGTGTCTTATCTGTGTTTTACTGTCTGTTCTTTATGGCTGCTTGTAATTAGAAGAGAAGGGGTTTCCCTGAAATGCATGAAGCTAGAAAGGGAGCTGGAACTTAAGGTGGCGATGTTTGTCCAAAATGATGGTGCTCCTTCTCTATCAGTAATAAGTGTGAAAAATGTTACTTTTTTTTTTTTTTTGAGATGAAGTCTTGCTCTACCGCATAGGCTGGAGTGCAGTGGTGAGATCTTGGCTCACTGCAACCTCCACCTCCTGAGTTGAAGTGATTCTCTTGCCTCAGCTTCCTGAGTAGCTGGGCTTACAGGCATGCACCACGATGCCTGGCTAATTTTTGTATTTTTAGTAGAGATGGGGTTTCACCATGTTAGCCAGGCTGGTCTCAAACTCCTGACCTCATATGATCCACTTGCTTCGGCCTCCCAAAGTACTGGGATTACAGGCATAAGCCACCGCACCCATACACGTCTGCTTATTAAAAGCATTTCAGATTTCTTTCAATATTTGCTAGCTTAGGTTTAGGGAGAAAAAGTGATGATTTAATTGATAAAGAGATCACCGAAATATTGTATTATTGAATTTTGAATATAAAAGTAAGTTTGTAGCTCATCAAATAAACCTCCTTTATTTATAGATGAGAAGTCAGAAAACAAAAACTTTTTCTTAAGGGGTTTGTTGAAATGCAGTGAGTGCTTACATTCCAAGTCCACTGAACTATCTTTTGCTGAATTTTTATGATGTTCTTATTTGGTACTTATTGTTATTTGTGGGGATAATATGGTGTAAAAGAATAATAAGTAACATGACCTATTAATTTTTAAAGTTGGACTTTTCTTCACAATATAATTCATAAAATAATTTTAATCAGATATGTATCAGTATAGAAATCTGTTTTCCAAGAAAATTCAATACATAATGCATTCCTTACATGAATTTTATCACGAATTTTACAGTCTGTCAAGCTGTCTTTTAAAGGCATACCTCATAGATATTGCAGGTTCAAGTATAGACCATTGAAATAAAGTGAATATTGCAATGAAGCAAGTCACACAAAATTTTGGTTTCTCAGTGCATATAAATGTATGCTTACTACATACTGTAGTCCATAAGGGTGCATTAGCATTATGCCTAAAAACATGTACATAGCTTAATTTAAAACTATTTTATTGCTGAAAAAGGCTAATGACCATCTGAGCCTACAGAGAGCTGGAATCCCTTTACTGGTAGAGAATCTCACCTCAATATTGATGGCTGCTGACTGATTAAGGTTCTGGTTACTGAAGGCTGGTGTATCTGGGGCAATTTCTTAAAATAAGACAGTGAAGTTTGCCACATCAATTGAGTCCTCCTTTCATGAAAGGCTTCTGTGTAGCATGCATTGCTGTGTGGTAATATGTTATCCACAGTAGAATATTTTTTCAAATTGAAGTCAATGCTCTCAATCCCTGCTGCAGCTTTATCAAATAAGTTTATGTAATGTTCTAAATCCTTTTTTTATTATTTCAACAATGTTCACAGCATCTTTACCAGAAGTAGATTCCATCTCAAGAAACCACTTCCTTTGGTCAGCCACAAGAAGCAGCTCCTCATCCATTCATGAGATTGCAGCAATTCAGTCACATTTTCAGGCTCTGCTTCTAATTCTAGTTCTCTTGCTATTTCTACCACCTCTGCAGTTGATTCCTCCACTGAGGTCTGGAACCCCTCAAAGTCATTCATGAAGGTTGGGATCAATTTCTTCCACACTCCTGTTAATGTTGATATTTGGACATTGCCCCATGAATCAAAAGTGTTCTTAATGGCTTCTGGAATGGTGCATTTTTTCTAGACAGCTTTAATTAACTATGACCACATTAATTAGAGGAATCACTATCTATACAACTTCTAGCATTATGAAATGTATTTCTTATATAACAAGACTTGAAAGTTGAAATTACTCCAGGATACATGTGCTGCAGAATGGATACTGTGTTAGCAGGCATGAAAACAATGTTAACTCCTTGTATATCTCCATCAGAGCTCTTCCATGACTAGCTGTATTGTCAATGAGCAATAATCTTTTCAAAGTAATCTTTTTTCCTAAGCAGTAGGTCTCAATAATGGGCTTAAAATATTCAGTTAACCATGCTGTAAACAGATATGCTGTCATCCAAGCTTTGTTTTTCCATTCTTAGACCATGGACCAAGTATATTTAGCATAATTCTTAAAGGCACTAGGATTTTTGAAAGATATAAGCATTGTCTTCATCTTAAAAGTAATCAGCTGTATTCACCCCTAACAAAACAGTCAGCCTGTCCTTTGAAGCTTTGAAGCCAGGCATTGACTTCTCCTCTGTAGTTATGAAAGTCCTAGATGGCATAAGACCTATTAGTATACATCAAAAAGCTATTGGTTTTGTAACCTTTATCAATTATCATAGCCAGGTCTCCTGAAAAACTTGCTGCAGCTATTCCATCAACACTCATGGCTTCGTCTTGCTCTTTTATTTTATGGAAATGGCTTCTTTTCTTAAACCTCATGAACCAACCTCTGTAACTTAAAACTTTCCTTCTGCAACTTGCTTACCTCTTTCGCCATCATAGAATTGAAGAGAGTTGAAGTCTTGCTCTGGGTTAGGTTTTGGATTAAGGGAATGTAGCAGCTGGTTAGCCCTTCTATCCAGAACACTCAAACTTCCTCCATATCAGCAATATAGCTGTTTTGCTTTCTTATCTTTTGCGTGTTTGCTGGAGTAGTAAACTTAACTTACTTTAAGAACTTTTCCTTTGCAGTCACAGCTTAGTGAACTGTTTGGTACAAGAGGTCTAACTTTCAGCTGATCTCAACTTTCGACATGACACTATGTTTAATGATTTCTAGTTTTTGATTTTGAATTAAATTGAGAGATATCATTTTACTTAAACACTAACTGGTCATTGTAAGGTTATTAATTAGCCTAATTTTAAAATCATTGTGTTTCAAGGAATAGGAAGACTTGAGGAGGAGAGAAATGGAAAAAGGGTCAATTATTGGAGCAGTCAGAACACACATTTATCCATTAATTTTGCCATTGTATCTGAAGTTGGTTTGTGGCACCCCCAAAACAATTACAACAATAACATCAAAGATCACTGATCAGAAATCATCACAAAAGATACTATAATCATGAAAAATTTTGCAATATTTGGAGAATTACCAAAATGTGACACAGAGACACAAAGAAAGCACATGTGTTGGAAAAATGGCACCAATAGATTTACTTGATGCAGGACTACTACAAACCTTCAATTTGTAAAGTGTAATAACTGTGAAACACAACAAAATGGAATATGACTGTACATCTTTTAATATAGGCTCAATTCAAATACATTAATTTGATATTAAATTAAAATCCTAAATATTTTACAATTTGAAATCAATTTTTGAACAGCACTTATCCCTGTCCTTCAAATTTTATAAAACATAGTCTACATTATTAACAAGGACATTTTCAAAGGTTATTTACTAATGACAATTTAGATACAGAGCTATGCTTCAGTAACAGCTGTGTTTGTATAAAACATCTCATGAAAATGTTATTTTATCATCATTTGTGTTTCTAAATTATGACAGTAGAAATATTTTGGGATATTTTAAGATATTGTGGCTGATATGGTTTGGCTGTATCTCCACCCAAATCTCACCTTGAATTGTAATAATCCCCATATGTCAAGGGAAGGGCCAGGTGGAAATAATCGAATCATGGGGGCAGTTTCTCCCATACTGTTCTCATGGTAGTGAATAAGTCTCACCAGATCTGATGGTTTTATAAATGAGAGTTCCCCCGCACAAGCCCTCTTGCCTGCCACCATGTAGATGTAACTTTGCTCCTCGTTCATCTTTGGCCATGATTGTGAGGCCTCCCTAGCTGTGTGGAATTAAACCTCTTTCATTTTTAAATTATGTCATCTCAGGTATGTCTTTATTAGCAGTGTGAGAACAAATTAATACAGTAAATTGGTAATGGGGGTGGGGTGCTGCTGTAAAGATACCCCAAAATTGGAAGCGACTTTGGAACCATTTGGAGGGCTCATAAGAAGATAGGAAAATGTGGAAAAATTTGGAACTTCTTAGAGACTTGCTGCATGGCTTTGACCAAAATGCTGTTAGTGATATGGATGATAAGTCCAGGCTGAGGTGGTCTCAGATGGAGATGAGGAACTTGAGAACTGCAGTAAAGGTCACTCTTGCTATGCAAAGAGACTGGTGGCATTTTGCCCCTGCCCTAGAGATCTGTGGAACTTTGAACTCGAGAGAGATGATTTAGGGTATCTGGCAGAAGAAATTTCTAAGTGGCAAAACATTCTAAAGAAAGCAGAGCATACAAGTTGGGAAAATTTGCAGCCTGACAATGCAAGAGAAAAAAAAAAAAACAATTTTCTGGGGACAAATTCAAGCCAGCTGCAGAAATTTGCATAAGTAATAAGAAGTAAAATGTTAATCACCAAGACAATGGGGAAAATGTCTCTTCCGGGCATCCTCTCCTGGAACAGGCCCAAAAGCATGGGAGGAAAAAATGATTTCATGGGCCGGGCCCAAAGCCTCCCTGCTGTATGTAGCTTAGGGACTTGGCATTCTGCCTCCAAGTTGCTCTAGCCATGGTTAAAAGGGGCCAAGGTACAACTGGGCCTTAGCTTCAGAATGTGCAAGCCCCAAGCCTGGGCAGCTTCCATGTGGTGTTGAGACTGTGGGTACACAGAAGTTAAGAATTGAGGTTTGGAAACCTCCGCCTAGATTTCAGAGGATGTATGGAAATGCCTGGATATCAGGCAGAGGTTTGCTGCAGTGGGTGGGGCCCTCATGGAGAGCCTCTGCTAGGGCAGTGCAGAAAGGAAATATGGGGTTGGAGGACCTGCACGGAGTGTCCACTGGGACACTGCCTATTGGAGTTGTTAGAAAAGGGCCACCGCCCTCCAGACTCCAGAATGGTAGACCCACTGAGAGCTTGCATCGTGTGCCTGGAAAGGCCACAGACACTCAATGCCAGCCCATGAAACCAGCCAGGAGTGGAGGGCTGTACCTTGCAAAGCCACAGGGGTGGAGCTGCCCAGGCTTGGGAGTCACCATGACCTGGATGTGAGACAAGGAGTCAAAGGAGATTATTTTGGAGCTCTAAGATTTGCCTGCCCCACTGGATTTTGGGTTAGCTTGGGGCCTGTGGCCCCTTTATTTTGGCCAGTTTATCCCATTTGGAATGGGTGTATTTACCCAATGCCTGTACAACCATGATATCTAGGAAGTAACTAACTTGATTTTGATTTTACAAGCTCATAGGCAGAAGGGACTCATAGGCAGGTGTCCCCACCTAAATCCTACCTGGAATTGTAATAATCCCCATATGTCAAGGGCCAGACCAGGTGGAGACAATTGAATCACAAGGGCCATTTCCCCCATGCTGTTCTCGTGAGAGTAAATAAGTCTCACGGTATCTGACGGTTTTATAAATGGGAGTTCCCCTGTATATATGAGAGTGCCAAAATGCATTTTCAAGTTGAAGACTAATGATTAATTGTATTATTTAATATTATGAAATTTTGTCCTATAGAATCCTTGCTCACCTCTAAAAACTCTTTCACTTAGTGTGCACCTGCATCCAACCAAAGAGATGCTATCCATGTGGTATGGTTATTTAAAAAGAGAAATATAGATGATAGAATGCATAAATGTAGCATAAGTGAAATTTTTAAATAATACAATGTTTGAAAAGCCATCAATTCAGGCAAAGTTAATCCAAAAAACTGATAATATCTATGTGTAAGGCAGCATATATTTTTAAAAAGTTGTATGAGGTATAGTCTCCGTCTGTATTCTGCTGCTATAACAATTCCATGGACTGGGCAATTTATAAACAACAGACGTCTAAATGGCTGACATTTCTGGAGTCTGGGAAGTCCAAGAGCATGGTGTTGGCATCTGCTGGAGGTCACCCCATGGCAGAAGGTGGAGGACAGGAGTGAGCACACGAGACAGAGAGGGAAGGGAGTTGAACTCAAGCTTCTTAGGAGGAAGCCATGCTCATGATAACGGCATTAATCCATTCACAAGGGCAGAGCCCACATGTCCTAATCACTGCTTTAAAAACCCACCTCCCAATAGTGTTACAATGGCAGTTAAGTTTTCAACGTATGAACTTTCACGGTATACATTCAAACTATAGCAGACAGAGTACCCACTTTTAAAAAGAGGGTAAGGTAAAATTAAATTTTTCAAAGTCTAAATCTGCAAAACTAACATTTTTTTTACATGAGAGATAATTTTTGAACATAGAATCTAATCATTCTGGAAATGCAAATCAAAATCACAATGAAATGTTACCTTACACTTTTTAAGGAGACTATTATAAAAGAGAAGAGATAACAAATGTTGGCAAGAATGTGGTGAAAAGAGAACTCTCATACACTGTCGGTGGAATTGGAAATTGATGTGGCCATTATGAAAACCAGTGTGGAGGTTCCTCAAAAATTTTAAAAAACAAACCCAAACTACGATGGGATCTAGCAATGCCACGTCAGAGTACATATTCAAAGAAAACAAAACCAGTATGTTGAAGAGATATCTGCACTCCCGTTATTGCAGAATTATTCACAATAGTCACAATACAGAAAACAACTTAAGTGTCTGTTGAAAAATGAATGAATAAGAACAACATGGTAATATAGACAATGGAATATTATTAAGCCATGAAAAAAGAAGGAAATTCTACCATTTGCAACAGCATGGACAAAACCAGAGGATTTTATGCTAAGTGAAATAAGCCAGACAATGAAGACAAATACTGTCTCACTCGTATGTTGAATCTAAAAAAATTCAAACTTCTGGAAGCAGAGAGTGGAACAGTAGTTTCCAGAGGTTAAAAAGGGGGAAATGGGGACATGTTGGTCAAAGAGTACAAACTTTCAGTTATAAGATGAATATGTTCTGAGGACCTCATGTACAGCATGGTGGCTAGAATGAACAATACTGTATTGCATTGTACACTTGAAATTTGCTAAAAGAGTAATCTTAATAGTTTTACCCCCTCCCCAAAAAATTAACTATATAAGGTGATGAAAGTGTTAATTACCTGGATTATGGTAATCATTTCACAATTTTTACATATGTCAAATCATCACATTGTACTCTTTAAATATATATAATTTCATTTGTCAATTATAAACTTAATAGAACTGAAAAAATTAAAAAAACTCAAAGTGCGTTAGTGAGCAGAGGGCTCATACCGAGACTGCAAACTCTTTCCACGTGTGCGCTGAACTTCATTTTTTCTTTAACTTCACCCTTCACTTTTCTGAGAGCTTGTCTCATCCCCTCTTCTATGTGTAATGCTACTCATCCCTTTACTATAATAGAATCTCTTGTCATAAACAAACACAAATTATTTATTTTGAGTTTCTTGCCATCGACCTCCTCAAAATAGAAATATATGCATTTAGAAATAAGAAATAGACACAGAGATTAGTAAATTGGCATTCATAAGGTCACAAAACCATTGCATTCTTTAGCCCTGACTTAAATACAAGTCATATTTCTGGCCAATTCAATAGTTTTATCCAGACAGTGTTTGTTAATCAAATAATATAACCATGAAGGTGGTTGCTTAGGTTCAAACATCACCTGCACAAATGCAGGTACAGGCTGGGGAAAACCTATCATGATTGTGGTCACTTTGATAGCCCTGAAGGGCTGAGTGTCCAGAATTTATAAACCTGTAATCTTTCTGAACCTCAAATCTGGTTTATCATCACTGGTGGCAGAATTGAGATCATTTTACTTAATTATTGAGAAGCCAATGTTATTGGTGATGGCTTTGTGTTTCTAGCCCACAAACTGAAATACATAGGTTATTGGAGGAAGGACAAGCCCCAGAACCTCTCCAATGTCACGGGAATGATAAAAATTTAATCACTTTTGCTGATAGAAACTTTTGATTGTCTCCTTTGTTTCACCACTTTACTCCTATTTTCCTTCAAGCCACAATATCAAAACAGAAGCATAGCTATTAGTAACTATTTTTGTAAGCTCTTCCAAATATTTTTTCCTGTTTCATTGGAATAATACCACTGAGTATACAGCCACAGCCATCCATAAATCACAGAAGGCTTCCCAAGACTTCCACAAAATATTGAATTTATTTCTTAGTGTGTTAACACACTTTTAAACATTATAAAACTTGTACTTATTGTTCTTAACCTTTCTTTCCTATTAGAAAATCTTTCCAAAATTATGCTAATGATTGTGGAAAGAAATGGAGATAAATAAGAGTCCAGACTGAGTAGTCTCATTGCTGAAAATTCTTAATAATTAAAGCAGTCTGGCATCACTAAGCTTACATTAGAAACACAAGAAGTTAATTTTTAAGTACAAAAGATATCACTTCAAATATTTCCAGTCATCCATGAATGTCATTCTGATTACTTAACAAACAAAAGTTAGAGTATAAATTTTTTACTAATGAATAATGTGCAAAATACATTTTACTGTTGATGGTAACAGCTATTAACATTTCCCTATGAGAGACAGCTCCGTGTATATGTGTGTAGAAACTTTTAAAAAAGAAATATTGCTAAAATGAGGAATATTTCTATCAGAACTTAAATAAAATTCTTCTGAATCTCAAAAAAAATCAAAAGTGAAGATAACCTCAATAAACAAAAACATAGAAGAAATAATGAGAAATTTTTAGCTTGTTCAATTATGTTAAAGTTTTCCCTTTGATTAAAGGAGAAATATTAAGATTATCTCAACTGTTTGAAACGTATACAGATTAACAGGCATAATATATAACGTCTTCCTCTCATTTACTGCAATGTTTTACAAATCAGATGGAAATCTGATTATTTCACAAATCAGATGGAAATCTTTTTACACAATTTCTGCAAATACATTGATCAATCACTATTTGAAATATTTATTTTTTAATAGACTCATTGTATATTTTATAAATCCTAGCTTTAAGATAAAATAATTTTCATGAACTTGAAAAACATCAAATAAGAATGTCTTAATAATGTGATTACGTTAGAAGAGGTACTTTTAGAAATATTTGTTGCTAAAAAAATTCACTTTTTTTTTTCTTTTGAGATGGAGTTTCACTCTTGTTGCCCAGGCTGGAATGCAAGGGAACAATCTAGACTCACTACAACCTCTGCCTCCCAGGTTCAAGCGATTCTCCTGCCTCAGCCTCGCAAGTAGCTTGGATTACAGGTGCCCACCACCATACCCAGCTAATTTTTGTATTTTTAGTAGAGAGGGGTTTCACCATGTTGGACCGGCTGGTCTCGAACTCCTGACCTCAGGTGATCTGCCTGCCTCAGCCTCCCAAAGTGCTGGGATTACAGGCATGAGCCACCATGCCTGGCCAGAAATCCACTTTTTACATGAAATATTGTATTCATAACATTTAAGAAAATATTTGTAACTATTAAGAATAAATTGTTTCATAGTATAAGAGAATTCCAACAAGTATCATAGAAAAAAGAAAGTATTACCAAGTGATGTATCTAATGATGTTGACACACACGAAAACTCAAATTTCACATTGCATTTGTGAGAGTATAAATTGTCTCCTACCAATATAATTGTTTCCATATTAAGTCAATAACATTAATTTCATTAGTTACTATAGCTCATCCAGATGTCATAGTACTCCCTGAATATCCCTCTAAGGACATTCAGATAATAAGCTATACCGACATTTCAAATATTCTTTTTACAATGACATATTTCAAACATAAAAGCAAATATAAGGATAACTACTCTAACTCTATATCCATCAACCAGTTAAAAACAAATCTGATCATTTTTGATATTTCTCTAAGATGTTTTTTACAAAAATGAAACAGAGTAGTTGAGGTCAGCTTTTACTTCCCATATACTCTGCAATTTCATTCTTATCCATTCCCGGAGGAAATCTCCATTTTGTGTTTATTGTATACTGTTTTTATACAGCTCTATTTATACATATACACAAACACTAATATTGTATAAATTGATTTTAATTGGAATTCTAATATAAACAGAATTACCCTGAACTTACATTTTTTGAGTCTTGCATTTGAAATCTCCCAATGTTGATATTTGTTTGTTTAATTCAAATGCAATATTTTAATTTATTGTATAACAACATCTCCATTGATTTCCTTATTCTCCCTTTAGTGGCTATCATGGTTTCTACACATTGTTAATAATGTTAGAGTTAGTGACATACATACGTTTGAGTATTTATCCAGAATTGGAATTGCTGGCTTATAACCTATGCATCTCTTCTGCTTCTCTAGATTTTACCAACTTGCCTTCTAAAGTGATTGACAAATTCATATTCCAACCAATGTGAGAATTCTTACATTTCTATGTATTGGGATAAATAACCTTTTGAATTCTTGCCTAAAGGAGGGATTTCATTTTCTTAAATGTGCTTTCTTTCTTTCTTAATGAGATTAAGCATTATGTATGTGCTATAGATATTATGTATGTGCTATAGATATAGCACATAAATTCAGGTATATAAATTTGAGTGGCTTATTCGTAGTATTTGTCCATATGTCTATGAGTGTTTTTTTTATTATTACTCTTTTGGCATTCTTATTTTCTGTTTTCTGTTTCTTTATTAATTACACATGTTATAAATACATTCTTCCATTCTCCACTTATTTTTTTGCCTTTTTATGGTGTCTGAATTTTAAATGTTACTCTCTAGATTTTCACCTTTCCTCCTTCTGAATACATTTATTTATCAACCTGAAATTATTTTTTAATTTGAACAATTATCAATAGCAATAATTGCAAACTCTTTATAATAAAAACTTCAAGAGTTACTCTCTGACCACCACTGCTGTCTTTCCAACTCCATCCCCAATGCCAGCTACCCTTTATCCTTACTGGGGATCCTTCTAGCTCTCTTCCTTTATATACTGTCTTACCATTTATATATTCTGTAATGTCCAAGATCCCCTTTTGTAATAAATTAATTGTATATATCCCTAACAATCTTTCTCCTCTCTCTTTTCATGTTGGTTGTTTGGGTAAAACACAACCATAGTTAAAATCCAATTCTCTAGCTGAATGTGGCTAGAAATAAATGAAAAATCATGTTAAATATCCTCACTTAAATGAAAGACAAATAACTTCAAGTTGACTCTCCATGAGTTTTATATCGTTTCCAAATATTTGCAGATTTTCTAGATATCTTTATGTTATTAATTCATAATTTAACTGCATTATACTTAAGGAACATATTTTGTAATAATTATATTATCTAAAATTTATTGATTTTATGGCCCATAATATAGTCTGTCTTGGTAAATGTTCTGTATGCACTTGATAAGAATGTGTATCCTTCAATTGTTTAGTGGAATGTTCTATAAAATGTCAATTACAAAGTGTTGGTGGATAGAGTTTTCAAGTACTCTATATCCTCACTGATTTTCTGTCTACATGTTCTATCAATTATTTTGAGATTAGTGTTGTGGGATTGTCTATTTATGCTTTCAGTTTTATCACTTTTTGCTTTATATATTTTAAATTTCTGCTACTTGTAAGCAATGCTTAGAATTTCTATGTTTTCCTAATAAATTGGCCACATTTTCATTATCCTCTTTATCTCTGTTACTATTGTTTGTTTTGAAAAATACCTTGCTATTAATATAGCCACCTTGAATGTTTTTTTCTTTTTTCTTTTTTCTTTTTTTTGAGACGGAGTCTCGCTCGGTCCCCCAGGCTGGAGTGCAGTGGCATGATCTCTGCTCACTGCAAGCTCCGCCTCCGGGTTCACGCCATTCTCCTGCCTCAGCCTGCCCAGTAGCTGGGACTACAGGCGCCCACCACCACGCCCGGCTAATTTTTTTTTTTTGTATTTTTAATAGAGACGGGGTTTCACCGTGTTACCCAGGATAGTCTCGATCTCCTGACCTCGTGATCCGCCCGTCTCGGCCTCCCAAAGTGCTGGGATTACAGGCGTGAGCCACCGCGCCCGGCCTTGAATGCTATTTTCATCGGTATTAGCATAGTGTATCCATTGACATTCTTACACTTTTTGCATCCTTACACTTTTTCCATCCAACCTATTTACATCTTTATAAAGTAGATACCTTACAGGCAGCCAGTTATTAATGCTTGCTTTTAATTTCAGTATGACAATCTTTGTGTTTAATTGTTTAGACCATTTACTTGTAATTATTGATAGGGTTATGTTTAAATTTACCATCTTATTATTTGTTTTTTTTTCTTTGTCCCATCATTCTTTGTTCCATTTTCTCATTTTTCTGCCTATTTTGGATTAGTATTTTCTTATTATTCTGTTTTATTTCCTGTATTGACTTTCTATCTATGAGTCTTTTGTATTATTTTTGTAGTTGCTATAAAGTTTAGGGTATACATTCTAACTTCTCACAATCTATTTTCAAATATACTATGCCACTTAACATACAGTGTATCTTTACAAGAGTATACTTCCATTTAGCCCTTCAAAGCTTTTATACTGTTGTATATTTTATTTCAATAGATGTTGTAAATTCCACAATACATTGTGTTATCCTTTTTGTAAGAAGTGAATTATATTTTAATTATTTAAATAATAAAAATAAATATTTATATTTGCTAACGAAGCTACTATTTTTGATACTCTGTGTTTCCTTGTATAGATCCAGGTTTCCATGTGGTATCATTTTCCTTATGCTTGAAAGACTTAACATTTCTTTTTTTTTTTTTTTTTTTTTTTTTTGAGATGGAATCTCATTCTGTCACCCAGGCTGAAGTGCAGTGGTGCAATCTCAGCTCACTGTAACCCCCACCTCCCAGGTTCAAGCGATTCTCCTGCCTCAGCCTCCCAAGTAGGTGGGATTACAGGCATGAGCCACCGCACCCAGACTTAACAATTCTTTCGATGAAAGTCATCTTGTGATGAAGTTTTTTGGTTATCTATGTTTGTATAGATCTTTGTTTTGCCTTCATTTTCTAAAATTTATTTTCTCTTAGTAAAGGATTATAAGGTGACTTTTCCTTTTTGCCCCAGTACTTTAAAGATGTTGTACTATTATCTTCTTACTTGCACTGGAATATCTTTGGCCATTATATATTTAAATGTATCTACCCAATTCCTCCCTCTCTATGGAACTCTAATACCCATATATTTGGTTGCTTGCAGTTGTTCCACACTTTACCAATGCTCTGTTTATTTTTTTTCATTCAGTCCTTTTTCTTTCCATTTACTTTTTGATAGTTTTTTTTTACTATGCCTTCAATTGTATTACTTTGTAATTTATTTCATATATCACATTAATATGTTTATTCTTTAATCTAGTTTCTTGATGGGATATAGGATACAGTTAGTTTTAAAGTCCTGATCTAGTAATCCTGCCATCTGTATCATTTCTGAGTCAATGTTAATCGATGTTTTTTTCTCCTCTTCTGGCTATGGGTTATAGTTTCCTGCCTTTTTGACTGATTCATAGTTTTTGATTGGGTGTCAGATGCTATACATTTTACCTTGTATGTCCCAGATATATTTTGCAGTCCTATAAAAATTTTTGAGCTTTATTTGCTAAATGCAAATGGGAACATAAATACTCGGGAGAAATCTTTGCACATATGAAAGAAGAGACATTTACAAAAATGATCATAGCAGCACTCTCCACAGAACAAAAGTATGGAAGAACTTAAAATAGGAGAGTAGGTGCATCAACACTAGGATAGTCGCTCAATAATGCAAGATTATGTGGCAAAGTGAATGGATTATATGGCATCCAAAAACATCAATAGATCTTACTAATATAACTTACAGTCTGTAAAAAAATAAAAGAGAAATTTGATTCTTAAGTATTATAATTTTTTTCTCAGCTACCAAGCCCAACTGAGCAGAATACTTCAATAATTTCTGAATGCCCTCAGGATCACACATTGAAACACAAATATGAATAAGAAAATGGACTTTCAACAATTCTAAGAAAAAAATACTTTGTTAAGAAAGATCTATTTCATTCATTCAGAGAAAAAGATTATCTTACTAAGCTCTTTAGCTCCTAAATCCCTCCCTGAAGTACAAATCAGAGTCTATCTTCAACAAGGGTGGAAGCATAAAATACAAAAGTCATGGCATTTGAACATAGTAAATTTTTGTTTGAAGACAATGGGCAAGAAATTTTAGAAATATTTTTCTGGGCCTGAAGGTCTATAAGTTGCATTGATCCATCATTGCTTACTGAATCCCAGTGCCAGAGATGTTAATATCATTTTTAAAATACCTTTGTGTGTGTGTGTGTGTGTGTGTGTGTGCACGCGTGTGTGATAGTTTGATATCTGGGGTTTTCTTGTCTTTGTCTAATCGTAATGCTTATGCCTTAGCATAAGTCCACACAAATCTGGGAAGCTATACTCTATAAAGGTAATCATATTAGTAAATTGTAGGATAAAAATGGGACTCTTCTTTATGGATGTTCTCCCTATTTTTTTTTTTTTAATAAGAAGGAAAGAGTGTGTCCCCAAACAAAAGAACCATTACAGAAAGTCAGGCTGTTTTTTCATCCTATTCCAATTTGATCTGAGTCCGTACTTAACAAGAGAATTCAGTTGCTTTTCTTGTATGTTTGTGTAGTAATGCCGGAGAGACTCTAGCAGTAACTAAATGATAGGAAACAAGCTAATGTCACTGCCCTCTCTGGAAAAGGTGATTTTTAGAGTAAAATATGATGAAATACAGGAAGCCGGTGGTAATAAATTATTCAAGATAACAATAGTCTTAGGACATCCAAAAGTTATCTTTTAAATAGTAGCCTACAGCTGAGCTGCATATCAGAATACGGTTAACTTTGTACTTGGGGTTGACATGATCTTGTAGTTAAGGTTAAATAACAAGGATACCATTTTCCTCAATGCCATAAATATTTCCACTTTTAATCCATGATTAAACACTCCTACTGAATTGAAAATGCATTTGGTGAAGTAATTTAACTAATATATCTTTTAGTACCCTGTGTTTTCTGTCAATACAAAACTACTTACGTGAAGTCATTGGTGAATATAGCTTCAGGAAAATTACAAGATATCTATTAAAAAAATCAAATTTCTCAGAGCAATACTTTAATTTTTCCAAAAATTCCGCTTTGAAATCTCCAATTAACCCTCTGTTTGACCTCTACTTCAAGAGATGCGAGTAAAAGCCTTCAAGGCAATGGTTAATTGGATACACACTTTCTAAGTGAGAAGTTTGAAGAAGCACTTTTATAACTAATTCTTCAGAAGTAGACATCTATTTGACTGAGGTATTTTAGTCTAATTTTTGCATTTCACAAAATAGCTGACCTTCTTTACAATTTTCTCTTTAAAAATTGTTTCTAGAAATTATGTTATTTCAATTAAGAAAAATTAATATGTCTTTCAGTTTACAAGATGAATTCATCTTAAAGACAAAGAGAAGCTAGAAAGTCAACATTGTCAATTTCTCTCAGTTTTTTCCTGTTGTATTTTAGAATGAATAATTTCTAAACACCCTATAAATTCTAAAACTTCTGTAAATTCTGTTGTTCAAAGAATTATTAATTGATGTACTTTATAGGATAAAAATATCCTTGGCTTAAGATTTTACAAAAATTGTGGCATAACAAATGTATATTTTGATACATCTCCTGTTTCAAACAGCAATTGTAGGCAAAATAATTTTTTAAAAATAGCCAGATTCAGAAACAATATCTTTGTAGATTAGAAAAAGAAGGAATAAATAAAGTGATGATTAGAAATGAGCATTGGATTTTCTGTGCTATGAAAGCAGGAAAGAGTGGTGATGGTTTGACCCTAAAGGGATAAAGAGGTATGGAAGTGCTCCATGCTGGATTCGGGACCAGCGATAGTCTCAAGGCTTGAAGCTGGGATGTGGTTGTACCACCTCTCAGTAAGTAGCCCAAGGCTAGCAAACTCTGAGCCTAGGGAGGAAGGATAGTACACTACAGAGAAAACCAACAATTTTCAGCTGTCACAGAGATTCTGTCTATAAAATATCACCATCACCATGACACTGGCAAAAGTATGGCCTGCACTTCGTTGTCCTTGGGCAAGCTAACCACATACTCGTTATTTAAAAAAGAATGAGCACAGAGGAAAAAAAGAGAAAAATAAGATACAAATGAACCAAAAAGTGAAAATTACTTATTTAAAATAAATAGAAAAAACAAACAGAAAGCAAAATTTGAAATCTAATTGAGTATTCTGCTCAGTTGGGCTTGGTCGCTGAGAAAAAAATTATAATACTTAAGAATCAAATTTCTCTTTTATTTTTTTACAGACTGTAAGTTATATTAGTAAGATCTATCGATGTTTTTGGATGCCATATAATCCATTCACTTTGCCACATAATCTTGCATTATTGAGCGACTATCCTAGTGTTTATGCACCTACTCTCCTATTTTAAGTTCTTCCATACTTTTATTCTGTGGAGAGTGCTGCTACGATCATTTTTGTAAATGTCTCTCCTTTTATATGTGCAAAGATTTCTCCCGAGTATTTATTTGTGGTTGGCATTGTTGAAATAACACACTGGTAGTGTGATTCCAGGTCTTGATCTTGGGAACTAGAGGGACATTGAATGCTAGAATTGTCAGTTTACGTTTTATAAAATATTCAGTAAATTTAATTAAATGTCAATTTATTTAACTAACTTTTGCTGAATTTTATTATGTGCTCAAACATAGTGAATTTTATGGACATTGATAGTGCAAAAAAAGGAGACTGTGGTGCTGGGGCTAGGGGAGAGTTTGTATCTACAAATAGCTTGATCAGAGGAGGCGCTAATAACATAACTCTGATCCAATACTTGAACATGGGGAGAGAATGTCCATAAGGAACAGCCATGAGGAACCTGAGGGAAGAGGGAACAAGCCTCTAAGGCAGTGTTGTGTCCAGAATGCTTGAGGAACAGCAAACAGCACGGAAGGTAAAATGATTGCAGCAAGGTGAATGAGGGAAAAATAATAAGAGATAAGTCAGAGTGGTAACAAGGGAGGGAGCTGGTCACCTCATGAATAAGTCATTGTTAGGTAGGACTTTGGTTTTTGTGACTTAGCTTTTTAAGGGATCACTCTGACACCACACTTGAGAAGAAATTATAGCACACAGAGTGGTGCAGAGGAGGTGGAGGAGATGGATAGCTCCTCTCGGGGGCCTGCCGTCTCTCTGGTCCTGAGGGATGCAGCTGACATATCAGACAGGACAGCATGCAACCCAGAGGCCTTGCAATGCATGTTTCTGGGACCCAAGTTATGTATGTAGGAGAAAAGTTGGACAGATGTAGGATGAGAGACTTAGTAAGAGTTTTGAGTACTGTAGTTATCATCTTCTACAAAGGATACACAAAGGATACCTTGCCACAGAGACAACCATAAAATCTCTACTATATCGTCCGGGTCATAGCAAAAGCTGCTGGTGCTGCAGATGGACTGCTGACATTGGCGTCACAGCCAAAAGCAGAAGGGAGGAAATAGTTTCACTCACCTTCCAATGTCCTGCTAGTACTTTATAGTGGAGTAACCTAAACAGAAACCAGCTGCCAAGCATTGAGAAGTGAAATTCTCAGGCTTTCAGGCCCATGAATTACACAGGCAAGCACATTTAACAGTAGCAGTAGAGTTGTGATCTAATCCACAAACATCTAACCCACTTAGAATTACCAGCTTGATAGCTACTGTGTCTGGAACCTCCAGAGGGAATCCTTTAATGACTCTTCTCATCATTCTCAGAGTAAAAGTGAATGCAAACAGGATACATTTCACTATATTCTTACAGCATCATCATGACGGAGAGAAACATGGTGCAACATTAAAGGAGGTTATTCTGAGAAGGCAAACTTAAAGAGTAAATGCCAAAACATCAGCTAAAAATGCCTGCAAAGAAGTAACGCCATTAGGCCAAAAATGCTCTTAACCGATCCCATCATTCCGGAAGTGCCACACACTATCACCCGTTCCGAGATTGTTCTCAGCCTCAGTTAATCAAATCTCCTCTTTGTCATGAGTGGTAATCTGTGCTATCCCCAGAGTTGAAGATATATATATATTAATAAAAGTAACAAAATTAAAATATACACATCCTTTGTCAACTTATTTCTAAACCGTTCATTGTAAATCTGTTTCTATTTTGCCTGAGCTGCAGGTAAATCTCTATAGGCTACTTGACATTTCATTTGATAGTTTTTATTTCAAAATTGATAACTACATAGGCGGCAAATTATGACTTGTAAGCCAAATCCATCCCACTTCCAGTTTTTGTAAACAAAATATTATTGGAGCACAGTCATGCCTGTTTATTTACTTATTGTCTCTGGCTTTCTTCATCCTAGAACAGCTGAGCTGAGTAGTTGCGATAGCTAATTTCAGGTTCACATTTAGCAAAGCCAAAATATTTACTATCTGACTATTCAGGAAAGAACTTTGCTGAGCTCTGTTATCTATGATACTTTACTTGGTATTTCATTCTGGGCAACTGTAGTTGGTGACACCTTCCATGAGGACCTGGGTTCGGTAATCTTGGGCTCACTGTTTTCTTTTATCACAAATCTCCACCAGCCTCCAAATTTAGTGATTTCTTAATCTGATTAAGTTAAATCTTTAATGCTTCTTCTTTGTCTTTTTTCAAATTGTTTCCACATTGTCTCAATTGCTAAAATAATGTCATAGCTGAATTATTATTCTGCCTCCAGTCAAATCAAATGCCAATAACAGGTGATGCTTCATGACTTTTTAATGTAACTCCTTGCTAAAAAGCATCTGTGCTTCCCCAGTTGACCAATAAAGGTGAATCTGTTTCTCTGTCTCCCCTCCAATTTCTTTTATAACCTCAAACAATACCTCTCACTAGTCACCTGCAGAAATGCTATTCATCATTCAGGAAACCCAAGAAAACCACATCACTCTTTCCCAAATAATATGTACTTAAAAGAATGATGATTCCTACAACATATTATTGTTATTGAAAATTATATAAATTATATTTAACTTTTCTATGCCTTAGCAGATGGTTGTTCCAGACACCATCCACTGAGGCATAGAAAAGTTAAAAATAAATGAGACATCTAATTGACTGGGACCTGCACATTCGAGAAGTTTGTGGAGTTTCACTTTATTCCTTTAGAGGGAACAATCCATCTAAGTCCATATTTGTAAAAGAAATTAGAATTCTATTTTTTATAAAAAGTATTTAATAAATAATGTGATTTTAGTAAAAATCGACCTTAATCATAAAGCTATTTTTCATGCCTAAAAGATGACCCATGGGTATTTAGGGTTAAAACATATTGTTATTTGATGATTGACTGAAGATGTCCTTGGTCATGAAAGGGGCGAACATTGAACTGGGGAAAATGTGGTGTAATCTTCAAGCCCTCTGAATTTATTATTGCAGTGTAAAAAAACTCTATTCTGCTTCTTAATCTAGGTGATATTTTTCTCCAAGATCTGAGGAGAAAAGCATTTCTTGGACTCTGATACTTTTCCTAAAGCATTTTTCTCTTTTCTTTTCTTTTTTTCAGAGGTCAAAGTTTTTGTCCTTGAAAGGTTAGCTAAGTCTATAGATTTTTATTTGAAGTTATAAGTGCTCTTCAGCATTTCAGTTATAGGTGTCTACTTCTGCAATGGTATGAGACATTGCTCTTGTAAAAATTTCAATCTGTATGGTGGAAAATTTTTGAAAAGTATTGTCAAGTGTATTACTTTCTGCCAAAGGTTAATCAGATACTGCTGAATGATGAAGTTAGTTCTTTGAATAGTTAATGCTATTCTCAAGATTCTATCTGATACAAATAAAAATTACAATAAAAAGTTTAAAAAACAGTTTGAGAAACTGAAAGTGTCAATCTATTATTTTTATGATTTAATGGAAAGTAAAAAATATGCATCCACAATCTTTTAGGGAGTTTCATGAGCCATTACAAAGTGGAATGGAATATTACTATTTATTGAGTATTCACGACGCTAACTTTCTTTAAAAAACATTAGGAAAGGGTAGAAAAATTAATATCATTTTAATAAATATCAGTTTTGTGATATTAGGTACTTACGTTTCCCGACTATCATCTCTCTCTCTGTCTCTCTCTCTCTCTCTCTCTGTCTCTCTCTTTCTCTGTCTCTCTCTTTTCGTTCTCTTGTTTACATACAGAATATAGACATTAGGAAAAAGGTCGATAGTTAGGGACCCACAGAAGTAAAATCTATAGAAATAAGCAAGACTTTGAAACTCTAAATAAGGCCATTTGGTTATTAAGATATTGCCCATGTTTAAAAAAATAAGAAACACCTATAAATGATTGGATGCCATGCTGACATAAAGAAGGCACAGATGTTAGATCATACCTGGCACTCCTTCTATGTTCCTCAGGCAATAGTCACAGGACTGCTGAGACCCTGAACAAAATCCAGAAGTTCTGTCCAGAAAGGAATGAGATGATATTAGGCAACTACTGTCAGCAACCAACACAAGGGATTTAAGTATCAAGCAACTCTTCATCTCTCCCTTTTTCTTTTTTCCTATTTACCAAAATCCAGTAAGTTAATTACAAATTTGACAAACAAATGAAGGAATGATCACATAGGCATTCTAGGTGGCCATCTAAATTCACCAAAAATTAAGTATCCCCAAACCTACCAATTTGTGTGCTATGAAGAAAAAAAAAAAGAGAGACAGAGAGAGAGAAAGATTGTTCTGGAAAGGACATTTTCTTGTACATAAGGGCTATTTCTATTTAGAAAAATCCACACTGTGAACTTTGAAGCCGGGCATCTCCTCTCAGCTAGGGCACTGGCAAAGGATAGAGAAGGAGCCGATAAAATGCCATCACCCACAGTGACGACTCCAGACGGTGGGAGACAAAGAGGCAACAGCATTAGGTTTCTTCTGGCATCTTCATTAGAATTGAAAACAGGAGTGACACTGACAAATATACAGTAATGGCAATGACAGTAGAAGCATTCGAACCATACTGTGCTGAGCTGTTTAACCTCTGCTTCCTGATTCTAGTGAGATTTCAGAATCTACTTCTCTAGGCTTCTCATTGTTTTTTGTGACCCAGTTATATATTTCTAAATTCATTTTCTATGTATGTGGCCAGTCATTTTCTAACATCTACAACTATCAGGCAATAAAGATGACTGATGCAAAGGGTAGGGAAAGTTTCCTAGATAGTGACAACTCTTACTTGTAACTTGCCGATTTTAATAGCTTTTAGTTTTTCATTTTAGAAAAAAAAATCTGGTGATATAGTATAACAATTATGCAATATTTTCTTGAATAATTTGACCCAGATTTATGATTGTATGGCATGGGTAAAATTGAATTTTATTAAGTAATATTGTATTATTCTTCAACATAACGATTTTTGGGTGGTTCATTCTAAATTGGTTTCTCACAGTTAATTGAGTGCTCTTGTGAATTGTTTAATAACGTACAATTTCACAGTTGGAAATTCTTTTTTCAATTTTGAGCACTTAATAAGTGAAAATAATCTGTACTTTATTTTGAGATAAACTTATTTTTTAAAAAAGAGGAAAAGAGTTGTTATATAAGGAAGAAATAATATTTTCATCTTCTTTCTCTTCTTTGACTTTCAAACATTTTAAGTTTGTGGACCAAGTATCCACAAACAACAGGAAGACCTGACCTTTCTGTGACAAGTATGGAATAAGTGAGTGAACCTCAGGGGGCAGATTTGAAAGAAAATATCCTTATCCTAAAGATAATTAAGTACATTTTTCGAACTAGGAGAAAATGCCTGTGTGGGGCATATTTTTAGTTGAAACTCATTTTTTAACCTAAAAATGCAGTAGAAAGATTACTTTTGCAGGTTTTCAATAGAAATTACCTTGGGAATCCTTCTTTTGAAGCATTTCCCTGAGTTGCATAGAAAATTTGCAATAACAAAGTGATTATAATTGCTGTATTCATTTTTCATATTTTACATATCGTGTAAGTGAATCTATACCAAACTAAGTACAGTTACCCTTTAGCTAAAGTTGTACTTTCACCTTTGCTTAAACCAGAATGAAGAATTTAAATTAATGAAATGGTAAGATCCATATAGATAAAAGGAAAGGTTCGACACTAGGGCATCTTGGATTTCCTAGTTCAAATCCCACCTGATCTCTTCTTTTGCTGTGGTACAAAAGTTGGCCTTCATATGACCAAACATAAAACTGACCCAAATCTAAGTAGGCTCTCATTTGTAAAATGAACGTTAAAGTAAAGCTCTTGAGTATATGAATTACAAAGACGCCCTTATGACCACTTTTCATGGATGGAGACAGTGCGAAAAGAGATTTGGAACAGAAACAGTTACCTGTGACGTTAAAGTAAAGCTCTTGAGTATATGAATTACAAAGACGCCCTTATGACCACTTTTCACGGATGGAGACAGTGCGAAAAGAGATTTGGAACAGAAACAGTTACCTGTGACGTACTTTGTTCATCCCATGCAAAATGTGCCGGCAACATTCAATGTCAAGATGTTTTTCAGAGAATGTTCGAAGTATAGCTATAAATATGTGCTATATCTTTTTAATCTTGATTTTTATTGCCATTATAAACAGAAGAGTTGTGAGTTCACCAGGGATTTGTGTCACGTTTAAACATGTCCTTGAAAATTTTTAGTAAAAATGGAGATATCCAAGTTCAAGATACTGAGATGTTTCATCAAAATCTACATTGAATTGAAATAGATTACAACATGGCCTGTGATTCAGAAATGCCATAAGAGAAGGTAGAAGAGAAAACATAATTGGAAAGATATTTATCTAGTACCAAATTATCAAGGTGGTATCATATAAATGGAAATAGCTACTTTAATTAGCTGTTTGTATCAATCAAACAGGAACTCTTATTGAACTCTAGTTGACAAAATAACCAAAGTTCTGACATTTCTTATCAGCTTTTATTAATTGGTTTATTCAAATTATATGTGTTGAGTTCCTACTACATTCAGTGTGCTGAAATGGATTGTAAAGTTGAAATGAATATGAGTACTGGTTCAAAATGCAATTATCTTTTGGTAATAAGCTGATATGATACTGTATATTGAAAGTCAATTTTATGCTTAATTATTCACTCTATAGTTGAGACAGCCAATCAAAATATTGCCATTTTAGCCAATATATAATTATTTGAGTATTTAAGCATTTAAAGTTAAGCAGTTATGAGGGCAAAGCTATATACCTTGAATAGAAAAAATAAACCTGAAATATATCTCACTAATAACCCACAACAAAATTTAAAATTTCCAAATATATAAATGATAGGTTTTATTTGCTTTATGACACACAAAATATAATAAGCTTGAATTAACATATGAATCATTTAATATAAAAACATCTTTTTAAATTAAGGTTAATGCTGCACTAAATATAGAAACTTATGGTCTGGTGAAAAAATGTCTATAGTTGAAAACATATACAGAAAGAGAACATAATATAAAGTAAATTATTATACATGAATTTTATTTTAATATTCATTTATAGATTTTGATATTCTAATAATTTGAATATCTTTAAAAAGATATAATAGTTAAAATGGTTTTGATTTTATTAATTGTACATTTCTCCTTCATTTTATCAACAAGAATTTAATTTTTCTCACCACTCCTGTGAAACTATTGCCATAATTAAGATGGCAGTAGAGAAGTCCAAAGGTTTTGGCTGAGGCTATTGATATAATCCATGGCCCACAATAAGGAGAGGTATTTACAAGTAACTTTGTTCAAAAGCAATAGGGCAAATCTAAGTGACTCTCTTTTTCTACTTGTGAATTTTCCAGAGTTTTAAAGGAGAATTGTACAATTATGTTTCAAAGTAGTTCTTTGAAATTAGCATTGTAAGAACATATGATGTTTAAAAAATAAAAAATACAGAATATACTTCAAGAAATGCTTAAAGTATCTGATCTGTTTTGTGTCAATTAAAAATATATATTTTCCAGCACTTGAGTGTAATTTTAACTGGGATCTCACCTAAAAATGATTCAAACATAATACTTTGGAATTACTTTTTAATAGTTAGAAAAATTGTCATTAGGATTAAAAATATTCAGTGTGCATATATGTGTATGTATATAATGTTTGTATGTGTGTTTGAAGAACATCATGGAATATGTGAGAAAATTCTAAAATTTCTGTAATAATTAAAGACATGGAGAAATTTATGGTGACTTCGTCTAATTTTTCTAAGTGGTTTAAAGAAATTGAGACATGTTGAATTTCTTTTTGACAAAGAATAAATTTAATCACATCACTTTTCTTTTTGTCAAATGATTATTTTTCAAACAATGTTAACAATACAAATTACACTATATCAACTTACCTTACATCTGCTATCCAAAGCTCATTTTTTAATTAAAATTCTCATGAGCTATTGGCAACGTGAAAATTAGTGAGCTGGTAAATTGAGGTGAGAAATTCTTCCAGAAATGTTTAAGATGGAATAGCTAGAAAGAAAATATGAGAAAAATAATTACTCTAAAGGATAGAATGAGAAGAAACAGTTTCTCTTTAACAGGAGCTTTTGAAGAATGGAAATGGAAAGGAGACAGTATTTACAGAAATAATATTCAGTAGAGCTTCTGGATGTATAGAAAGACATAATATAAATTTCATAGTTTTATTTTCCCCAGAAACAGCACCTAAAACCACCACCTCATGTAGGTGATTCCAGGAAGCACAAGTGAAGACTTGAATGAAGCTGTCTAGGGAGAAAACGGCTTGTTATTGAGCAATGGTGGCACTTCCTGCTGGAGACCCTGAGGACCCAACCTAGAACTGGTATCCACTGTCTCCAAGGATAGTCTTGAGGGTTTTATTATTATTATTATACTTTAAGTTCTGGGGTACATGTGCGGAACGTGCAGTTTTGTTACATAGGTATACACGTGTCATGGTGGTTTGCTGCACCCATCAACCTGTCACCTACATTAGGTATTTCTCCTAATGTTATCCCTCCCCAAGCCCCCCACACCCCGGCAGGCCCTGTGTGTGATGTTCCCCTCCCTGTGTCCATGTGTTCTCATTGCTCAACTCCCACTTACGAGTGAGAACAGAGGTCACAGAACAGAGTCTTAGGTTTTAACTCCTCAAAATTCTGCCTGCTCCAGGCACCCTGAATAAGCTAATTCCTGATGGCAGAAAAGCTGAGAGATGCAATTGGTATCTGAGGTGAGATGCTGCCAGAAGACCCAGGACACTGTCCACCAAGACTGCTAAAACACAGGGGCTGCTGAAATGTACAGGATGCTGTGCAGGGCTCGAAAATAAGTCTAATACAACTTAGACTGAAATGACTGGCTCAGAAAACACCAAAAAGGAAAACAAGAAATGACTGGCACTAGACACATGCTAGTGAAATTTAAGAATATCAGTGACAATCTCCCAGAAAGAAAACAAAAATGTTCTCATAAAAGGAACATAAGATCAACATTAAATTTCTCAACTACAACACTGAATGGAAGAAAAAGTGGGCTGGGCGTGGTGGCTCACGCCTGTAATCCCAGCACTTTGGGAGGCCGAGGCGGGCAGATCACGAGGTCAGGAGATCAAGACCATCCTGGCTAACACGGTGAAACCCCATCTCTACTAAAAATACAAAAAATTAGCGGGGCGTGGTGGCGGGCGCCTGTAGTCCCAGCTACTAGGGAGGCTGAGGCAGGAGAATGGCGTGAACCCGGGAGGCGGAGCTTGCAGCGAGCCGAGATCGCGCCACTGCACTCCAGCCTGGGCGACAGAGAGAGACTACGTCTAAAAAAAAAAAAAAGTAATATTCCTAAATTACCATAAGTAAAGCACTTCACACTAACATATAAATGCAAAGATGCTACATAAAAGACTCCAGGCATTCTAGACCTCGGAACATTTGTTGTACATACAATACATCTGGAAGAAAAATATTTAATAAATAGACAATGACATAAAAATAAACATGAGTTATTTTAGGAATACTAGAAAAATGTACAAGTTTTGTTAAGTTTTTAAACTTACTTGGCGAGTGAACATAATTGTTAAGTTTTAACATTGGTAAGAGAAAAGTAGAAACACAGGTCAAAAAAAGGTAGGTGTAAGCATGAGGAGAAAAGCATAACATGTATAAATATACCTTTCTAAGTTTAAAAATTGCTAATATTCGCCAGGTGTGGTCGCTTAGGCGTGTAATCCCAGCACTTTGGGAGGCCAAGGCAGGAGGGTCATTTGAGTTCAGGAGTTTAAGACCAACGTGGGCAACATAACAAGACCCCGTCTCTACGAAAAATGAAAAGAAAAAAATAAAATATCCAGATGTGGTGGAGCACACTTGCGGTCCCAACTACTCAGGGGGCTAGGGTGAGAGGATAGTTTGAGCCCAGAAATTCAAGGCTGCAGTGAACTATGATCATGCCACAGCACTGCAGACTGGGCGACATAGGGAGACTTGTCCCAAAACAAAACAAAACAAAAAAACTACTAATGTTGTGAAATTTGTCATATTTTTAAAAGAAGAGCTAGCCACAGTGGCTCACACCTGTAATCCCAGCATTTACGGAGACCGAGGTGGGAGGATCGCTTGAGCCCAGGAGTTTCAGATCAGCCTGGGCAACATAATGAGACACAAAAAAAGAAAAAACAAACAGAAAAAAGACAAAAAAACCCCATATGCTGCAGCACACATGAATACACATTTTAATACAATGAGCATACATGTACTCCACTCCCAGATGATGAGCTAGAACATTGGCTAAACCTTAAATTCATTTGATCTGGGTTCATTCCTCTTCCTCCCATCTCAAAGTCATCATATCATGAATTCTTCTTTTCTTGGTTTCAAAGTTTTATTGCTGATCTATTTATCAACTCTAAATTGTTTTTCTGCTTTTTTGTACTTTATACAAATGGAATTCTCTATTTTATAAAATTTTAAATTCATATTGCTTTTTCAGAATCAATAATGTTTATGCATTTACTCATTTGTACTGCTAAATAGTATTTTGTGGTATGATTCTACCATAATTTAATCATTCATTCTACTATTCTCCCATTAATGAAAATTTAGGCAGCTGATTTTTTTTTTCTCTATTCTGATTGATGTATCTATGGGAACATGACTCCTGGTACCCAATTGTAAGGTTTGTCCTTGAAAATTTATGATAAGGTACATATAATTTGAACTTCACAAGAGATTTCTAAATTGTTTTACAATATGATTGCACAAGTTTACACTCTAAAACCATTAGTGTAATGACAGTACGACTATACCACAGCCCTTCTGTACATGTTGTTTTTTAGTGAAAAGAACTGTGTAAATTTTAATAGTGACAGGGTAACCAATATTTTCATTGTGCTATTTACATTTGATTTAAGAAATCCTTACTACTCAGAGAGAAGAAAATACACTCTTACAACATCTTTTGAACATCTTTTGTCTGCTTCTTCTTGCCACAATGCCACATAATCTTAATACTATTAGTAACTCCTGTTCTTTATTTTTCAGGAAAGTTTTGGCTATTTCTTGTCCTTTGTTCTCTCATATAAATTTTAGACTATGTTTAACAAATTCTAAAGTAAAATACCATGAGGTTTTGATTATGAATGCATTCACCTATGGATCAATTTGGGGAGAACTGACAACTTCACAAAATTGCAATCGAAATCATAACCTTCTCCCAATATTTATAACTCCGTCAATGTCTTTCAATAAAGTCTTATTTTCTATAAGTAAATAATCTTTTTGGGAGGCTGAGGTGGGAAAATAGCTTGATCCCAGGATTTTGAGGCCGTAGTAAGCTATGATTGCACCACTGCACTCCGGCCTGGGCAACAAAGCAAGACCGCCATCTCTAAGATAAAATATAAAATAAATAAATAAAATAATAAAAAGTAATCTCTATTATGAGTTGGCATATCTAAATTTTTAGTATAGGTATTATGATCATCATTTTTAGTTTACGTTACAAATTATTATTTGTTGTGTATAAAACTTTGATTGACATATTGATCACCCATCCGGAAAAATTTGCAAACTCATATGTTAATTTTAGAATTTTCCCGTGGTTTCTTTGGAGTTTCTGAATAGAAAATCTGAAAATAGTCATGCTTTTGTTACTTCATTTTTCAATCAATTTTCTTTCTTTTTTCACTTTCATGGTTAGGGCTTCAAGTACAATGTTGAAAAGAAGTGATGACAGTGTATCTGGTCTAAAAGCAACTGCTTTAATACTTTACCATACAAATTATGTGTACTTTATTATTTTATGATGCCCTTACTTGAGGGCATTTTGCTTTAAATTTCTAGTAACTTAATCACAAATTGATAAAGATTTTTACTAACACTCTTTTTTTCTATCAAGAAAATAACATACATTATATTTTTCTTCTTTTGTCTGTTAATAGGGATCAACCCAACTATGTAAGCTTTGCCTTTTCTTTAAATTTACTACTGGATTCATTTTGCTAATACTGTACTGTGTACTAATGACTAGCCTGGTAATTTTCATTCTCCTATCACTCTCCTTGCAGGTTTTGGTATTAAGGTTTTGTTAGCCTTATAAAATAAGGTAACAAATGCTCCTTCCTTTACCTCTGTAAGAATTTATGTAAGATCAGGTTTATTTACTATTTGATACAACTTGCTTGTAAGGCCACTTGGCTCTGGTGTTTCATTTGTGTAAGGATTTTAAAATACTGACTGAAATGTTTAATTGGTAGAGAACTATTAAAGATTTTGAGTCAATCTTGACTCAATCTTGCTACAGTATTTCTAAAATTTTTTTTATTTTATAAATTCACTGGCATGATAGTCATTATAGCTCTTTAAATTATATTTTAATATCTGCATCATGTGTATTATTTCTCTTTCTTCCTTAAAAATATATCCATATATTGTTTGTGTGTGCACGTTTCTGTGTTTGTATGTGTGTGTTTATGATTAGCCAAGGCTTTGTCTGTTTTATGATTATTTTCAAAGAACCAACAGGATAGTTTGAGTTATGTGGCAGGTATATAAAATCTCACAGGGTTCAAGTGGAAAAGTAGGCCCCAAAGAATCCACACAGAAATCCTAAGTCACTTCTGCACACAATTTCTTGGTCAGAATAAGTTGCAAAGCCATGCTTGAATTCAATAGGGTGGAAAGTGCCTGGAAGCAGAATAAGAACAAAATGTGAAAAGCTCTGATGACATCCAGGCCTATGCAAACTTTTGACTATGTTCACATCTCTGTTGAATATATTTTTCATTGATCCTGGCTTTGATCTTTATTAATTCCTTTCATCTTTTTCAAAGTTTATATTGCCGTACTGCTTATGAACTGCCTAAGGCAGATATTTAACACAGTAATTTGCAACTTTTCTTATTTTTAGATAAGTATTCAAGGACACATTTCTAATTTCTGTTTAAGCTTCAACTCACTAATTTTGATATCACATGCTTTCATTATGATTCTTTTCAAACAGCCCTACAATTTCATTTTGATTTTTTCTCTGGATATAATATTTTAAAAATCACAAAGCAATTTTTATTGTGTTCTGAAAACATTTGATTTGCACTTTGCTATTTTTGTCTCTATTCATCAGTCGCTGAGAGGCCTGTGGAAATATCTCAATTTTAGTGTGGGTTTGTCATTTTCTCCTTAAAGTTCTACAAAATTTTTATTTATATGTTTCAAACCATGATATTAAGGGTGCCTCAGTTAAAATATTACATATTTCTGGTTTTAAAAGGCCTTATTAATACATAGATAATAACTGTGAGTCTACTAAGACATTTGCCTCAAATTCACATTTGTATGATATTAATATGACTACATCAGCTTTCTTTTAATGAGTATTTGCCTGGTTTATTTTTTTCTTCTCTTTTTTCCTGTCACATTTTCTGTATGTTTACTTACCAGTAGGTCTCTAAGCAGCAAAAAACTGTATTATTATTTGTTAACTCAGTCTAATAAACCCTCACCGTGAAAAGTATTTAGACCATATACAGTGCATATGATTAGTGGTAGGCTGACAGTATTTCTATGACCTCAATATGTACAATTTGTCTAATATTTTCTGTTTCTACTTTTCTTAAAGTCTTTATTAACTTTACAGTGATTTTTTTCACATTCCACTTTTTGAATTTTACATGCATACTTAATATTTTACATTTTGTAAAATGTAAAAACTAGGTCCTTTAGAACCCTTTAACTCGATCTCACAGCTCTAAATATACGCATTCTAGGAATTTCTTTTTTTTTTCTTTTTTTTTTTTCGGTCTAGGAATCTTTTCTTTACCCAATCCCTGCACCTGAGATCACTTTCTTTATATCTGCAATACATTCTTCATATTTATTTTAAGTGAAAGTTTGTTGGTAATAAATGCCATCAACTTTGTTTGCTGGATTTTTTTCAATTTTTCTTTTGAACTTGAAAAGCTATTTTTTTTTTTTTTTGGTGTAGAATTTTAAATTGACAGCTATTTTTTCTCAGTTCTTTCTTCACAGTATCCTAATGGCTTATGGCTTCCAAATGATGTTGTTAAGAACCAACTCTCAGGCCAGGCGCAGTGGCACTTGGGATCACAGCACTTTGGGAGGTCAAGGTGGGCAGATCACTTGAGGTCAGGAGTTCAAGACCAGCCTGGCTAACTTGGCAAAATCCTGTCTCTACTAAAAATACAAAGAAATTAGCCAGATATAGTGGCATGTGCCTGTAATCCTGGCTGCTTGAGAAGCAGAGGCAAGAGAATCGCTTGAACCCGGGAGGTGGAGGCTGCAGTGAGCCGAGATCGTGCCATTGCATTCCAGCCTGGGTGACCAGGTGAGGCTCTCGTCTCAAAAAAAGGAAAAAATCAACTCTCAGACTAATTTTTGTTCCCAGGTGATCAACATTTTTATTTGACTGTTTTAAAGATACTCTACTGTTTATGTTTTGCAGTTTTACAGGTGTATGTGTATGTGAGGCTTTCTTTTCATTTGTCAAGTTTGAGATCACGTAGAGTTTTCTGATTCTGAATATTGTCATCTTTCTGCCATCCTAAAATTTCTTTCATTATATTACCAAATACTTTGTCTTCTGTGTAATCATTCTGACATTCAAGTAGCTGTATATTAGATTTGTTCTCTGTATTCTACATGTTTCTTAGCCTGGGAAGTTTTATTATTTTTTTTCCATCTCTGTGATATGTGCTGGATAATTTCTTTGCCTCTATCTTCCAGTCACTTATGTTCTCTTTCTCTTTGACCACTCACTTAAAAAACCTTTGTGTTATATAGATGTGTACATATAGAAATATACTTTTTACTAGTAATAATTAGTCCTGTCTAAAATCTGGTCATGTTTTTGGACTCTTGCTTCTTGGGCATATTTTCAAAACTTTCTTGTACTTATGAAATCACATTGAATATAATTTTCTTATATTCCCATGATTTCATTATGTCAAGTCTTTGAAGGTGTAATTCTACTGTCTGCATTATGTTACCTTTCAGGTGTAGTGCCCCATTTTTAAAATAGCATATACTGGTCACATTCTTTGGAATAATTTTCCTGTGTTAATTCCTTGAGAATGGGTTGCAGTTGCATTTATTCAGTGGCGTTTTGCATATACTCAGGAAGGCCCTGTCAATCCTTGAATATTATGAATTAAATTACTTGCTTGTACTTGTAAAATATACATGCAGTTCATATTTGGGCTTTTATCCTCTTGATGTCCAGCTTTGATTATCACATGCTGAAAGGACATTCCTTTTACCCCTTAGGAACAAAAACAAATTATGTAAAGGCACGTTTTCACGGACTGGATTGTTTCTCATTCATCTACACTTTGAGCATTCTGGCTTTATTTGGGTTGCTTCTATAAGACTTTTCACCTTGGGTAGGCCAGCCTATCTTCTTCTGAATGCTGGCTATGTCTTTCATAATGGAAGCTCCAGCATACCTAAACAAATATCCTCAAGAAGACTTTGTAATTTCCTTACACCCCAAGGTGACTGTATCCCATTTAATTTTGGCTTTTGTATATATCTTATACTCTTTACATATGCCATTTGTTTATAAAGATTTTAAGTATTTATTTTTATCAGAATATAATTTAGTGCTCCTAGAAAGCTAGCGTCCGAAGACAGGATGCCCCATATAAACCATAACAGAGAAAAAAAGCAATCTGTAAGCAAACAAAACATTGAAAAAGAACCCCTAAAAAATTGAAGAAATGAACAAAATAGAAATGTGAAAACATAAAAGAATGAAAAATTAGAGATACATTAAAAATTGGAGTAAAACTAACACATAATGCAACATTAATCTCAATAATTTTAATAATGCTCATCCATTGAAATACTAAAACTGGAAGACTGCACAAAAATTACTCCTACCATCCCAATAACAACAAGCAACCAAGAGCTGTCCAAAAGACAAAAATACTTAAAATAACACTATGCAAAAAAAGCAGAAGATAAAGTTTTTAAAAAATGCTACCCTAAGTTAATATGAACCAAAATCAATCTATGGTAGGAATTTTTTTGTCGGATAAAGTTAACATCAGAATAATAGAATTTAATAAAATAAGAATTTAGCCAAAGGACAGGCATGCCCAAAAGATAACATAACGAAATGATATTACAATTGAATGAGCTCTTTTTTGATAATTTTCTATATCCAACAACCCCAGCCTGTCAATGGCTAACAACAACAACGTATACATGTCTTACTGACCGACATAGGTCAAGTATGCCTCTGCTGCACTCAGCTGAAATCAGCTGAGCTTGTCATTGGGTACAGGTATGCTCTTTGGGTGTCCTCTTTCTGGGTTTAAAAACTACCCAGGGAGACATTCTTCTCATTAAGGAACTCAGAGGTATAAAAAGGCAATTCCAAACCAGTCAAGTTTATTTAAGCCTCCATTCACCTCATGACTGCTAATACATATGGATGAAACTATGTCAAATGACTAAGCTCAAAGTCAGTAGGTAAGGGACGCATTTTCTACCTTCTCTCCAATGATGCTTCACCAGCAAGGCTATGGATGTGTAACTCTAATGACAGGGGGAAGCAAGGAATTGGAAAAAGAATTCAGTCAACTTCAAGGATCTGGAGCAGCCAAGCATGGTAGCCCATACCTGTAATCCCAGCACTTTGGGAAGCTGAGGTGGGAATATCACTAAAACCCAAGAGTTTGAGACCAGTCTGAGCGACATACTGAGACCCTGTTGCTACAAATAATAATAATAATAATATTAATAAATAAATAAATAAAAAGTAATTAGCTGGGTGTGCGGCTGGGCGTCTGTGATCCCAGGTAGTCAAGAGACTGACGTTAGAGGGTTACTGTAGCTCGGGAGGTTGAGGAGTCATGATCACCACTGTACTCCAACCTGGGTGACAGAGCGAGAACCTGACTCAAAAACAAAAACAAAAAAACAAAAAACAAACAACAACAACAAAAAACAAAGGAAACATATTTGGGATTGATTTTTTAAAAATACGTATATACGTATATGTATGCATACACACACACATTGCTTTTTCTTTTTCTTTTTTATTTTTATTGTTTTAGGGAGAAGGGGAGAGAGCTGTGCTAAATTTGGTGCCAGTTATTCCATCTTAGTCAAAAGCAGATTCCACCGTTTCTTTAATTTGCATTTTCCTCCCACTGGTAGGAAATTTGCAGTGTGCGTATTTTCCTATTCTTTCATTTATTTCCCCCCCAGAGATAATACCAGATTCTTAGTTTGAACAATCTCTTTCTAGATGTAGAAAAAATGAAAACTAGAATTAAAAGTGTAATAAAGATAAAAATGTGATGAAATGGTTCTTACAAGGCTGGAATGCTGAAAGTATGAACCTTAGTTCTTATTTTTGTGTTTGGTTATTCATAAAAATAAGGGAATTTCTTTTTTTTTTTTTTTTTTTTCGAGACAGAGTCTCACTCTGTCGCCCAGGCTGGAGTGCAGTGGCGCGATCTTGGCTCACTGCAAACTCTGCCTCCCGGGTTCACGCCATTCTCCTGCCTCATCCTCCCGAGTAGCTGGGACTACAGGCGTCCGCCACCACGCCTGGCTAATTTTTTTGTATTTTTAGTACAGACGGGGTTTCACTGTGTTAGCCAGGATTGTCTCGATCTCCTGACCTCGTGATCCGCCTGCCTCGGCCTCCCAAAGTGCTGGCATTGCAGGCTTGAGCCACCGCGCCCGGCCAGGAATTTCCTTCAAGCAAAATGAAAGCTACTTTGTCATCCACCCATTCCCATTTTGCTCCTATTGATACTACTCCACAGTATTCCTTGACCTCAACTCCCCTTACTCATCACCTTCCATTTCCATGCCTCCATATTTATATTCAGTGGTTAGCATATGTTCCCAAACTCATGGAAAGTTCTTATCAACATTCCAGTCAGAAGAAGGCCTGTCTGCAGTGTAAACCAGACATTACTTTACAGTGAATGCCAACTACACCATGTAGAACAGTCAAAATTTCCTAAGAGTAATGGAAGAATTCTAAGAGTAAATGAAAGAATGTAATCATGGGAGAAAGCTGGTAAAATGAGATTTAACCTTCTGTTTTGTCCTAAGTTGACTTTACTTTATATGGAACAAATTATTATCCTTCATGATATATGTGAAAAATGTTTAAGTCACCTCTTTCTGTTCATCTTGTAAGAAAGAAGAGGGAAGATATTTTATTGGTCATGGTCGCCTTGACAAAAACTAAACATTTAGATCTAACTATCCATGCTTAAATCACAGCTTTGGTTCTGAGAGAAAACAGGAGAGAGTGAGTGAGAGTTTAAGTGATTTTTGAGGTGATGAGATATGGTACCTTAAGCAAAGGTATTAGCATTCTTCAATTCTTAATATTAGACACTACTAGGGATGATATCTTTAGAGTAATTTGGCAGCATAGTTAATCCTCTGATCACATAGAGCCACCAGCTGATTGACTGTATTAGTTGTTCATTACTGCATAACAAATTACCCCCAAAATGTAGTGGGTTAAAACAACAAACATTTTTCACATTTTCTGTGGGAGTGACCTGGATTTGAAATTTGCTCAAAAGCCATTTGTTAATTTTCACCTCTTTTGCAATATGGAGAGGCTGAGAAATTTCAAAACCGATCCCTAGTTACCATTAGTTAACTGTTCTTCCCTCAATTTATTTCTCTCCTTCCACATTTTGGAATAAGCATCAAAAAGAAAGCAAGTAGCATTTTGAATACTTAGCTTGGAAATCTCCTGAGCTAGATCACCCCACATTTTATACTTTCCATGTTAAGGAAGGTAATACTGTTTCTAAGACTTCTATCCCTTTAGAACAAAGATCCCCCTTCCTTCTGTTTCCAAAAACATGTTCCTCATTCTTCATTTCCTTTTGACCTCCATTGACTTCCTCAATGTCAAGATTTCTAATGAATCTGTTCAAAGAAACAGGCTTTTCTTAACATGCTTCCCATATTCCCTTCAGCCTCTGCTCAATGCTAATCCCAAAAATACTTCCAAATGTTTAGGTATTTGTTATGTCAACACACTACTTTGAGGCACCAAAATATGTATTAGTTATTTAACAATGCATGAGAAATGATCCCAAAACTTAGCAACGTAAACCATTGATTATCTCATAATTTCTGTGCATCTGAAATCTGCATGTAGCTTAACTGGATCCTCAGGCTCAGGATGTCTCCCAATGCTGCAACTAAGTTGTTGGCTAGAGGTGCAGTCATCTCAAGTCTTGAATGGGGGGTGACTCACTTCCAAGCCCAAGCCCATATATGATAAGGACTGAAGACCACAAATGGCCACAATCCACATGGCCATTGGCAGGCTCAGGTCCTTGCTATGTGGGCCTTTCCACAGGACAGTTCACAACATGGCAACCGACTTCCCCTAGGTTGAACCCAGAGAGAATGTTGGAACAAGTAAGATGGAATTCACAATCTTCTTCTAACACAATTCAGAAGTGACATTCCATCACTTTTTGTTGTATTCTCTTTCTTAAAAGTGAGTCACTAAGTCCATCCCACATTCATGTAGAAGGGATTACACAAGGATGTAAATATCATGCACAATGGAAAAGACATTTAATGAAATGCAAGGGTTTCTAATCTATTTTTATACACATAGGCTTCAAATTATGTAAAGTCAAATTCATGTTTCTTTTTCCTTATGTACCAAGAATTGCAGATAAGGAAGTATGAAAGAGTAACATCTAGCAAAAATATCGACATGTTTATAACATACATAATGAAACATTCAGAAAATTGTGCTGAAGTAAAAACAAATATGAAAGGCAATGCATATAAATCTTGTATGTAAAGACAGAAATTATGGAGAATGATCTCCATTCTGTCCTAATTATCCTATACATCTGGCCAAACCAACCTTATAGCAAATGAAGAATGACAGCAATGGTTTCATTCACATTCGTATTTAGAACCACTGTGGTTCATGTATGGTTTTACGACACGTGTCTTCACTGCGGAGCCCAGTTAATGGTGCTGTTCTTATCTGGAACACTGCTGTTCTTGTGACAGATAAAGCCTAGGAAAACGCCGTAGAAATGTGATAGCTTTTCAGCTTCTTGGAGGCGCATTGCACTTCTGCTCATGTTTTACTAATTTAAACAAGTGACATTGTCAAGAAGGACATCAGTATGGTGGGGCAGTACAATTTACCATAGGAATGAGAACTGAAAGTCATATTAGTTTTCTATTGTTATAACACATTACCACAATCTATTATCTACACACTCAGTATTCTACCATTCTAGAGGTCAGAATTCCTAAAGTCAAGGCATCAACAGGGCTGCCTTTCCTCTAGAAAGAGGCTCAAGGGGGCAACCCCCATTTTATTCTTTATGTAGTTTCTAGTGGCCACCTGCATTTTTGACTACTGTCTTCTTCCTCTGTCTTAGAGGCAACAGAATAGCATTTTCAAATACCATTCTCTCTCCCCTTTCTCTCCCCTCTCTATTCCTCTTCTTCCCTTCCTCTTCTCTTTTTCTCTCTGTCTCCTCCTTTCTACCTCTCCCTCTCCTCTCTTCCCTCCTTCTCCTCTCTCTCCCCTCTCCTCACTTTCTCTTCTCCTTCCTTGCTCCTCTCTTCCTTCTCTCTCTTCTCTTTTATCTCATTCTTATCTCTTGTCCACTTTCTCTCCTCTCTCTTCTGCCCTTTGTCTTCTCACTCCCTTCCCCTTCAGCACTCTGTCTTTCCCCTCTTCATCCTCTTCTCCCTCCCCTCCTCTCCCTCTCTCTTTCCTCTCTCTCCTTCCTGCTTCTCTCCTCACATATCCTTCTGACCCTCCTTTTTGCCTCCCTATTGAAGATCTTTGCGATTACAATGGGCCAACTAGAAAATCCAAGATTCTCTCCCCATCCCATGATCCATAAATGAATTATATCTGCAATCATATTGGAAAGCGAATAATATCTGAAAAAAGTTTATTTTTTCATGTAATGTAATACATTCACACGTTCTGGAGATCATAACATGGACATCTTGGAGGTACCATTATTTTTCACCCCCACAATTATAACACCAAGCTTGAGATCAGTGGGACAGAGAAAATGAAAATTTGAAAATAAAAATGATAGAAAGATAGATAGATGATAGATAGAAAGATAAATGATAGATGATAGATAGAAGATAGATGATAGATAGATAGATAGATAGATAGATAGATAGATAGATAGATAGACTGTCCTCTTGGTCATGAACATCATTTCCTTTCCATTTACACGCAAATATGCTCAGACCCTTCCTACAGGAAGTACGTCCATGAGTCCCAGTATAGCATCAGGATCAATGTCCAGAGTCACAGGACATTTTCCAGGTCAGACCTGCGAGTAGCTTATCTTGATCTAGATACCAAAGAATTCAAAGGACACATGCAATAAATAGAGGATAACCTTGACAAGCTGTCTTGTTCACAAAGGGGAGGAATGACAGTTTCAGAACAGATACTTTTCCATAACAATTATGAAATCCCTCTGGGGGAGGGTAGTATCCTTGACCACTCTTTTCGATGAACCTTGCCTCTGCCTTCTTGATTCTTTATTAATATCCTCCTTGGTTCCATGAAAAAAAGGCAATAGAGAAAGTCTCTCCTTGGGACCTAAGCATATTTTCCACAGGAATTTGGTGCTCAAGGCCAATCACTGGTGAATGGTTTGAGGATTTACATCTCTCAGAAACCTTTATCCAATCAGCTCCATGTGCCAGTAGCCATACACAAAGTTTTGTAGCAAATGTTTTTCCAGTTTTAATTACAGACACTTTGAACTCAAAAATATGGTATGTTAGACTTTTTCCTCTGAACCACTTTTAACCAATTGGAAGTATTTACTGGATAGCAATGTAATCAGAGTTAGAACATTTAACAGAGGAATGGTGGTCATAATGTTGATTCAGTCTTTACCAGGAGACTGGTTTTATTCTATTTTGCCCCATCATGTCTTCTCAGTTTTGTTTTCACAGTTAGATGGTGATTAGCTACATCTCTCAAATGTGCAAGTCCCAAAATATAGGCTCATCGAATTTGTTTTAAAATTGTATTTGTAAGGGACTTGCTTTTCTGAACTTATCTTGTAGTACTCTTTGAAATTCAGCCAATGTTGAGACATTTTATTCCCTGACTTATTCAATGAAAACCAAGGACTTATTTAGTACATTATCTGCCTTGTCAGTTGCATAGGAGACAATTTTATGAAATGATCCACCATCACATTGCATTAATTGATGATTTTCCAATCTTCAAATAAAGTTTCTTACTCTTCAGTGCCCACCACAAGAGGCTATGCTACTTTTTTTTTTTAATAAATGTAGAACCCCACTGGTAGTAATGATATCTTTATTAGTACATTTGGGCTAGGAATAAACTATCCCCAAGTCTCCAGGAAATGTAGCTTATGTCTATTTATAGCTTATTTTATGTATCTAATTTGGATCAATTTCTCTTTTCTGTATTTCCTCATTCTGCACCTAGGCTATAGAACTCATTACACTATAAATTACTAATTACAATGTCTCATTTGTGACCTAGCACAAGTTTTGGCACATAAAGCGCTTTTATATATATGTATGTACACATATTTCTATATGTACATATTCATCTTATACATAAGAAATTTTGTTAGTAGAAAAATGGCATTTGAAAACAGGAAACATACTACTATAAATATGTGAATGTGTATGTGTGTTCACATATGTGTATATATGAGATAACACAAAAAAAGTTTGATTTGTCAAATCAGATTCTCATGAATCAGATTCCTTATGAAATACTTTCTAATAATTCTAAAGTAACAAGTGGCAATGCACAGTGGAAGCGGGGATTTGGCTGGGATATTGGGGGACCACCACCCATCTTTGCTTTAGGACATGTGATTTCTGGTTGGAATGATGGATGAGATCTCTAAGGAGATTTGTCAGATGCTTCACAAAGAGAATTTTGCTTATAACTCGTGTAGTTGTAGCTTATAAGACATTTTCCAAGACAAGCGTCTCATAAATCCAGTGATTCTAGGTTTGCTTTCCAAAAGCATCCTACACTGCAGGCAGTCTGCTTAAGCATTTCATAGATAAAGACTCTTCTCATAGCAATATAATTAGTCTATTTGCCAAGAGGTCCAATTATCAGCATGTTTTCAGGAAGATTAGCCTGGGTCATCTGCCTTTCTTCTCTGGGAATGTCCCATAGGTAAGGGGAGAAAAATGAGCTACAGCCCAGTTGCTTTTACTCCTTAAAACATTGGTGAAATCAAAACATGGAAATAAAAGCCTCAGGACTAATTTATATTTGTAGAAAGAACATGTTATAAAAGAGGCTAAGTACATTTCATCGAATTTCGTAAAATATTCTAGACTTTAGTAGACATGTAGACAAATGGTATAGAAAACAAATTGTAAAGTTAAAACAAAACAAAAATATATCTTAATTCAAGTAATAATAGATTTTGTTTGCTACTGTCATATAAATAAAAGTAACAATAAAATATTGAGAAAATAATAAACATGTTATCATTTTTCCTTTGCTCATGTCACTGTAAACTAATAAAATGGCTTAATTAACCAATTTACCAGTAGATTAAAGAACTAGAATCTACATATAGTTTTTCATCATGAAATGTAATGATTGCTAATATGTCTTATGGAGCAAATGCCACCATAGGTAAAAAGCTATAAATATAAAACAAGAATATAAAAGTTTTAGTATTATTTATAATTAAAACTTACGATAGTTAAACTATAATATGATAGGTAAATATATGAAAGGTAGCAACTCCATGGCAACGTGGAATTGACTGCCTTGGCCATTGTCTTTGTAAATGAATTCCAAGTTTACATCTCTGTCTGTAGCTGTAGTTGATTATTTTTATTCTCTTTACTGTTAAGATGTCATAAACATTGAATGTTTTAAAATTATTATTTATGTATGTAAAAAGTAGTAATAGGTATTGTATCTAAATTTTGGACAACAGTAATAAAATTACTAGAAATTAGAAATAAAACCAAATTTTAATGCCAAGTAATACCCGGAGTAAATACTCCACAGGACTGTAAGTACATACTCATGCCAGAAAAACAGGTGGCCCCAGAAGGATGCAATATATGAATGACAAGTATTTGCTTTGCTCAAATTCCTTTATAATATATTTGGAGTACAAAGTGAATTACAAGTCAAAATTCATTTAATCATTAATAATAGAAGTGCATTTTATCTCAGTGTTTGTTTTAAACATCATTGATTTCTAATAGCTTATATTCATTTTATTATCTCAGAAATTCCTAAGCACACAGTAGGCCTTGCTTGTTTGATTGGCATCAACTTAATGTTAAAAGAGTAATGATTTGATTAGGATGTACTTTGAGGAGCCCAATCATTTTGTCATAATCAGCAATTTGTGTTGAACAGCATTAAGGTTTTTATTTAAATAATACCAAATTGTATACTCTGATTAGAATCTTTTTTTTCAGCATTAAAGGAAATAACTTGAAAAGCTTTCTCTTCTCCCTGTTAATGTAACTACATTCAAAGAGAGTGAGTAGACATAAACATGGTTTTTATTGCCAACTCTTTTCATATTCATCTATACAATCAAATCCCAAGGGCAGACCCTTTAAATTTCAAACGTAAATGAGTTGATGTACTGTAAATATGGAGGAATTTCAATGCAAGTAAAGGTTTTCAGAATATTTTAGTTCATATATAATTACTATAAATGTTTGGTATAATCCATCCTGCTTTTACTTTATTACTCTTCCCACATGCTGAAAAGGTGGAAAACTATAAGTTACACTAAAGCACTAGAAATAGAGCTATACCAACCTAAATTGTTATAGCACAATCAAAACTGTGAAATACAGCTTTAGAATTTTTAAAAAGAAGAATAAAGCTTTCTGTATATTGAGATACCCAATTTAGGATTCATTTTAATGCTACCCACTTAAATTGTTTTCTGTTTGGTATAATTACTCAAGGGTTGTTCATGGTACTCTCCAGCCTGGGGTGAAGGAGAGAGGGATGTTGGTTGGCATGAGCATATTATCAGCAAAGTATACAGTGGCAGAATATAATTTTGTATAACCAAAATAAGCAACTAGATTTCCAAGTTGTGATGCTTACCTAACAAGCTAGAAAACCAAATTTTAATATCACAAATCTATAGTTTCTTTCTCCATATAAAATGTTTATTATCAACCTCGTGGTAGCATTTCTGCAGCTTTTGTTTCAGCATTAAGGTTATTACACTTGCCTTTTCTGTTCTCATTACTAGAATATTTTATAGGTAAATCCACTCAAGGAACCTGTTGTGCTTTCTGATCAAAGTGGAAAGTGATTCCAGGCTATAATAAGCAATTTAATTTTTAATGAGCTTATCCGTGCCCAAGGTCATAACAAAGCTTAAAAAAAGAGTTAAAATAAAACTACAGCAAAACACTAATGATAATGCCCAGATACGACCAGGGCATAATAATATTTGGCAGAGCGCACTCTCAAAGTATCTCAGTGGTATTCTTTTTTTAAATTTTGTTTCAGAATAGAAACTTAGCTCAAGTAAGGTGTAGAATATTAAATAACATAGACATAGATAAAAATGCATGAGACTTTTCTCCTAAAAGAAGTAAGCCAAGCTGTTTTCAGAATTTAAATTTCTAAGCTAAAAATGTTTAAGTAGTTTTACAAAACTCTGTGTTGTTAACCCATTGTTATTTCTGAAGGAGATAAAAATTTGGTATGCTGTTTTATTATCTTTTCCTGCAATTTTTTTTTAAACTTACAGCAGGTAGGATGTGGGAGTGTTTTAAACACTCAATTTGCCTTACTATTTGGATAATTATTAGTAAATACTTGCGGAGTTGCAGAAAAAATTCTTTTGATTAATTAATATTTAATAGCCTAGGCAATTGTAAAGTAATAATGTCTATTTTAAATGATGATGATCTTGAGTTTGCACTTTGTTGTTTTTGTTTTAGTCTGAATATATTACATGATAAAGACAATAAAAATTCTTGGTTAAAATTTCTTTTGGGAAAAATTAAGCTCATTTCTGCATAATAGATATGCATTGCTCTGGTTTTGTATTTGATATCTTCAGGAGCCATTTTAATTATTTCATGTTAATAGATAGTAAGCAATGGAAAGCCTCTAAAAGTATCTTTGGTTTAACAGAGATTTTACTTACATTGACCCTAGAGTTCCACTGATAAATGATGAAAATTAACTAACAAAATGTGGAGACAAATGGCTGGGCGCCGTGGCTCACGCCTGTAATCCCAGCACTTTGGGAGGCCGAGGCAGGAGGGTGACCTGAGGTCAGGATTTCAAGACCAGCCTGGCCAACATGGTGAAAACCCCTGTCTACTAAAAATACAAAAATTAGCTGGGCATGGTAGTGGGTGCCTGTAATCCCAACTACTTGGGAGGCTGAGGCACGAAAATCACTTGAACCCAGGAGGCAGATGTTGCAGTGAGCCGACGTTGTACCACTGCACTTCAGCCAGGGTGACTGACAGAGTGAGACTCTGTCTCAAAAAAAACCAAAAACAAACAAATATACATATATACATATATATATAGAGAGAGAGAGAGGGAGAGAGAGAGAGAGAGACAGAAACAGAGAGAGAGAGACAAATAGGACAAAAGTGGATAAAATTTTTATTAACTAATACCCCTTAATTCTGGTACCCATTATTTTAACTTTCAGTAAATTTATATATTAATCTTTTATCTACTTATCATATAGTAAAATCTAATGATTTTGGTTGAAACCAAGACTTGCTGCTGATATGCCCATGTAGAAAAAAAATGAGCATTAAAAAAACGTGCTTTTTTGTTTTATAGGAGACTTTTGTATGTTTCCTAGAAAAGAGGACAAAAGTTAAACATAAGGACTGTCCGTTGACTTGAAAGTTAAATCATCACATGAAGCCAGAAGATAACTAGGGAGTGATTTTGTTAAATAGGATTAATAATTTTTTTGATTCTACATTATAATTTAAAAGTTAGTGACAGTCTCGAGTATTTAAATATAGTAGGACTCATTTCAGCTAAAATTTTATATTGCTATAACATGAGCAATGCTACAAGAAGTCAAAAACCCGGTGAATCTTTAAGGACTCCATTCCTACGTTTCTTTACTATTAATCAAAGACCCTTAAATTTTCAAATGAAGTTGGGACAGTAGAATTTTCTTAAAATATTTAGATATAAAAATAAAAAAGACAAAAATTTTAAAATACATATATAATTTTATGAATATATCAATAGATTACAAAACCATCCTAGCATTGAACAAAAATAATGCTATAAAATATATTAAATGGGAATCATAATTTTCCATCAATTCTTTTTTTTCATTTAGTCATCATTTTCAGATTGGCCAACTAGACATAATATACCATCTGACAGTTTTATTTTATAAGATTTTTGAAGTTTACCCTTCAAGCTTTTTTTTTTCCTGTTGTATCATTTTCCTATTGCTACATAACAAATTACCACGAAGATATAAACTTAAAACAACATCTATTTATTAGTTTCAGTTCTGAATGTCAGAGGCCTAGGCACAAGTTAGCTGTTTCCTCCGCTTAAGGTCTCATAGGCTGAGGTATTCTCGCTTGAAGTATAATACTTCTTAACTGTGAATATGTAACTTCAAATAGTTATAGCAAATATTTTATTATGTTTATGTTTATTTAAAATGCAATTCTCTATGTGCTTAGGTGTATTGTTGCTGATGAATCAGTGATGTAAATTTGTTTAAGTTCTTTATAGATTCCGGATATTAGCTCTTTGTCAGATAGGTAGATTGCAAAAATTTTCTCCCATTCTGTAGGTTGCCTGTTCACTCTGATGGTAGTTTCTTTTGCTTTGCAGAAGCTCTTTAGTTTAATTAGATCCCATTTGTCAATTTTGGCTTTTGTTGCCATTGTTTTCGGTGTTTTAGTCATGAAGTCCTTGCCATGCCTATGTCCTGAATGGTATTGCCTAGGTTTTCTTCTAGGGTTTTTATGGTTTTAGGTCTAACATGTAAGTCTTTAATCCATCTTGAATTAATTTCTGTAGAAGACGTAAAGAAGGGATTCAGTTTCAGCTTTCTACATATGGCTAGCCAGTTTTCCCAGCACCATTTATTAAATAGGGAATCCTTTCCCCATTGCTTGTTTTTGTCAGGTTTGTCAAAGATCAGATGGTTGTAGATGTGTGGTATTATTTCTGAGGGCTCTGTTCTGTTCCATTGGTCTATATCTCTGTTTTAGTACCAGTACCATGCTGTTTTGGTTACTGTAGCCTTGTAGCATAGTTTGAAGTCAGGTAGTGTGATGCCTCCAGCTTTGTTCTTTTGGCTTAGGATTGACTTGGCAATGTGGGCTTTTTTTTGGTTCCATATGAACTTTAAAGTAGTTTTTTTCCAATTCTGTGAAGAAAGTCATTGGTAGCTTGATGGGGATGGCACTGAATCTATAAATTACCTTGGGCAGTATGGCCATTTTCCCGATATTGATTATTCCTATCCATGAGCATGGAATGGTCTTCCATTTGTTTGTGTCATCTTTCATTTCATTAAGCAATGGTTTGTCGTTCCCCTTGAAGAGGTCCTTCACATCCCTTGCTGGATTCCTAGGTATTTTATTTTCTTTGAAGCAATTGTGAATGGGAGTTCACTCATGATTTGGCTCTGTTTGCCTGTTATTGGTGTATAGGAATGCTTGTGATTTTTGCACATTGATTTTGTATCCTGAGACTTTGCTGAATTTGCTTATCAGCTTAAGGAGATTTTGGGCTGAGACGATGGGGTTTTCTAAATATACAATCATATCATCTGCAAACAGGGACAATTTGACTTCCTTTTTTCATAATTGAATACCTTTTATTTCTTTCTCCTCCTGATTGCCCTGGCCAGAACTTCCAACACTATGTTGAATAGGAGTGGTGAGGGAGGGCATCCCTGTCTTGTGCCAGTTGTCAAAGGGAATGCTTCCAGTTTTTGCCCATTCAGTATGATATTGGCTGTGGGTTTGTCATAAACAGCTCTTATTATTTTGAGATACATCCCATCAATACCTAGTTTATTGAGAGTTTTTAGAATGAATGGCTGTTGAATTTTGTTGAAGGCCTTATCTGCATCTATTGAGATAATCATATGGTTTTTGCCGTTGGTTCAGTTTACATGCTGGATTAAGTTTATTGATTTGTGTATGTTGAACCAGCCTTGCATCCCAGGGATGAAGCCCACTTGATCGTGGTGGATAAGCTTTTTGATGTGCTGCTGGATTCTGTTTGCCATTATTTTATTAAGGATTTTTGCATTGATGTTCATCAGGGATATTGGTCTAAAATTCTCTTTTTTGTGTGTGTGTCTCTGCCAGGCTTTGGTATCAGGATGATGTTGGCCTCATAAAATGAGTTCGGGAGGATTCCCTCTTTTTCTGTTGATTGGAATAGTTTCAGAAGGAATGGTGCCAGCTCCTCTTTGTACCTCTGGTAGAATTCAGCTGTGAATCCGTCTGGTCCTGGACTTTTTTTGGTTGGTAGGCTATTAATTATTGTCTCAATTTCAGAACCTGTTATTGGTCTATTCAGGGATTCAACTTCTTCCTGGTTTAGTCTTGGGAGGGTGTATGTGTCCAGGAATTTATCCATTTCTTCTAGATTTTCTAGTTTATTTGCATAGAAATGTTTATAGTATTCTCCGAAGGTAGTTTGTATTTCTGTGGGATCGGTGGTGACATCCCCTTGATCATTTTTTATTGCGTCTATTTGATTCTTCTCTCTTTTCTTCTTTATTAGTCTTGCTAGCAGTCTGTCAATTTTGTTGATCTTTTCAAAAAACCAGCTCCTGGATTCATTGATTTTTTGAAGGGTTTTTTGTGATTCTATCTCCTTCAGCTCTGCTCTGATCTTAGTTATTTCTTGCCTTCTGCTAGCTTTTGAATGTGTTTGCTCTTGCTTCTCTAGTTCTTTTCATTGTAATGTTAGGGTGTCAATTTTAGATCTTTCCTATTTTCTCTTGTGGGCATTTAGTGCTATAAATTTCCCTCTACACACTGCTGTAAATGTGACCCAGAGTTTCTGGTGTATTGTGTCTTTGTTCTCATTGGTTTCAAAGAATATCTTCATTTCTGCCTTCATTTCGTTATGTACCCAGTAGTCATTCAGGAGCAGGTTGTTCAGTTTCCATGTAGTTGAGCAGTTTTGAGTGAGTTTCTTAATCCCGAGTTCTGGTTTGATTGCACTGTGGTCTGAGAGACAGTTTGGTACGTCACCATCATCAAAGACCAAAGGTAGATAAAACCACAAAGATGGGGAGAAACCAGAGCAGACAAGCTGAAAATTCTTTTCTTTTCTTTCTTTTTTTTTTTTTTTTTTTTTTTTGAGCCGGAGTCTCGCTCTGTCACTGAGGCTGGAGTGCAGTGGCGCGATCTCATCTCACTGCAAGCTCCACCTCCCGGGTTCACGCCATTCTCCCGCCTCAGCCTCCCGAGTAGCTGGGACTACAGGCACCCACTGCCATGCTCAGCTAATTTTTTGTATTTTTAATAGAGACGGGGTTTCACTGTGTTAGCCAGGATTATCTCGATCTCCTGACCTCATAATCTGCCCACCTCAGCTTCCCAAAGTGCTGTGATTACAGGCATGAGCCACCACACCCGGCCAAAGCTGAAAATTCTAAAAATCAGAGTGCCTCTTCTCCTCCAAAGAACACAGCTCCTCACCAGCAATGGAACAAAGCTGGATGGAGAATGACTTTGACGAGGTGAGAGAAGAAGGCTTCAGATGATCGGTAATAACAAACTTCTCTGAGCTAAAGGAGGATGTTCGAACCCATCGCAAAGAAGCCAAAAACCTTGAAAAAAGATTAGACGAATGGCCAACTACAATAAACAGCGTAGAGAAGAACTTAAATGACCTGATGGAGCTGAAAACCATGACACGAGAACTATGTGAAGCATGCACAAGCTTCACTAGCTGATTCGATCAAGTAAAAGAAAGGGTATCAGTGATTGAAGATCAAATGAATGAAATGAAGCGAGAAGAGAAGTTTAGAGAAAAAAGAGTAAAAAAAAAATGAACAAAGCCTCCAAGAAATATGGGACTATGTGAAAAGACCAAATCTACATCTGACTGGTGTACCTAAAAGTGACGGGGAGAATGGAACCAAGTTGGAAAACACTCTTCAGCATATTATCCAGGAGAACTTCCCCAACCTAGCAAGCAAGGCAGGCCAACATTCAAATTCAGGAAATACAGAGAACGCCACAAAGATACTCCTCGAGAAGAGCAACTGCAAGACACATAATTGTCAGATTCACCAAAGTTGAAATGAAGGAAAAAATGTTAAGGGCAGCCAGAGAGAAAGGTCGCATTACCCACAAAGGGAAGCCCAGCAGACTAACAGCAGATCTCTCGGCAGAAACTCTACAAGCCAGAAGAGAGTGGGGGCCAATATTCAACATTATTTAAGAAAAGAATTTTCTACTTTGTCGTTTTTATTTTAATCTTTTAAGTATAAGTCAAGTCGCAGGCAAAACAGTCTAAATAAATGACATTCGTTGGTGATATTTCAAGCAGTAGGATCAAACAGGGAAGAATGGAAAAAATTTGGGTTAGTTCATGACCACATACCTTTAAATGATTCTGTATGTCACTGTCTTTTACTCCCTTAGTGTTGAGAAGCAATATGAATATCTTTCAGTTTTTGTATGGTCAGAGGTTTCTGAGGAAAAATTACTGGAACCCGGGGTTACATGACAATCCTTGGATGTTAAAGGGTGTTTGAATAGATAGAGAAGTCCAGAATTATACAGAGATTTATTTCTGCCGTTATGTGTCTACATTCCAAAGGGTTGTAACCAGATACCTTCCCTTATCTTTTTGGAGAGATCCAGAGGAGAGGGTGGTAGCTGTGTTGTGACTCCTACATAAGCCCCCAGATCCATAATTTCAGGGTGTTTCTCCTATGGTACAGACTCCACTGGCATGACCACCTGGCTCCTATCACATTGCCATGAAGGAGAAGGTGTGGCTTCAGAAACCTACAACTTGATTGCTTTAAGTAATCAGAAACCTTGTGCTTGATCTCAGAACCAGGTAAGTGAATGTAGTATTAAAAACATATCTTGTGTTTTATATGTTAATTGAACATTATTATTATCCACTGAATAATATTATAGACTAAAATCTAAATGGAAAGACAAGTGAACAACAAAATATTTAATACAATGTTTTGAAAAATTTCATGAAGAAAATAAGCAAGGTCTGGTAGTAAAAAACTGTACAGTTAGAAATATGCAATTATTTTTCTGTACACTCAAATTTATCTCTATTATAGCAACTGTAAGTTGTATTATAAATAAACTATTTTGGCTTTCCATGCCTATTTGCTTGTGAACATTTGAGGAAAATGACTAACCCTATTTATTTTTTTATCTCCAGGAAATGGTATCTGGGGTTTAATAAATACTTCTAGAATTAATAAATTAATAGCTAACCTAAACTTTCACTGTCCCAATTCAAAATTATTAATCTAATATCAAGGAAATTCATATTTAATTCTCTTTTTACCTCATCTAAATATATCATCTCATAGAGCTGTTGAAACTTGGAAAAACAAAATATCTCCCAATTTTACAAGAAATTTTTGATCTATGATAATATGCCATTTATTTCATATTAAACTGAATGTATATTTAATTTCAAAGTTTTCAAATGAAAATACCAGAAAGTTAATCCCAATATTCAAGTTAGAATAAAGGAGTCTTCAATCAGAAATGGATCCTATCTTTTTTAGAGGCCCCCATGACACAGGTACAGTTAAGATATTGTTAATAACTATAAGAACAAATTTTCTTATGAAATAAATATGGACAATATCAAATGAGGAACATTTCCTGTGATGCTGAGAGAATCTTTCACCTTTGATCTTCCATTTTCTTCTTAGCTATTTTATGATACATTTTTAACAATAACTATTCTTATTATGCATGTAGAAAATATGGGCTAACCTTCATGTATAATAATTGAAAAAATAAGTGTTATTGGTTACCACTTAGGTAATGTGATGTGTTAAACCTGTGCCATCCTTTCTCTGTGAGCAATGTCTCCTTTTCTCCATTTTCAGCTTCATGTACATATTGAAGCCTACTTTTTGTGCAGTTATTTTCTTTCAATTTCATTTTAAGTTCCGTAATCCTGCTGCTATTTAAGGAGTGTCCTCAAGATGTTGTGGTTTACGCTCTAGTGCCCTATCCTCTTTCAGAAGAACTCCGCTTGGTTTGCTCACGTGTGCACTGCCTTTTAAGTCAGGGCTTCTAGTATGAAGTACAAGAGCTATTTGACTACTCAAGTGTAACTCTTGTTTTGTAGTATATCATTTGAAGACATGTCTCTAGGCTTCTGGTTATTTATACAACTTATAGTCTACTTCTATCTGTGTGTATGCTGTGTTATTTACTCTGCATTTATTTGTATACAGTAGACTGAAGTAAGCTATTTGCATTCACCGTAATGATGTATTTTTATACATTAAAAAAGTATGGCATTACTGATAATGTAATCATTTGAATTTATTCAAGGTTTATTTGCTTTAACATTTCTTCATGTCAAATAAAGGTCCTAGTGAAATTATAGATAAACTGGGTAAATCATGGAAAAATGGAAGTTTTAACTTAAAATGTAAGGGCATTTTCATATTTCATAGTATCCCAAAGATCAAGATGAAGAATACATTGGATTATATAAATGCAAAATGTTAAAAAGGGAGTGGATAAGCACAAACATATTTTGCTCAAACAATATTTCCTTTTTCATGTTATAAGTAAATTGCTCTTGACATTTATATAGCTAAAGTGTATATTCATATATTATTCCCCCCAAACAAAACATGAATGTTTTCGTAAAAATCACATAGTAATTGCATAGGTACTATGATTAATGGAACTAATGGATTAAAATATTTTATTAAATACCAATATTATGGCAGTTAAAACTATAAACTTCAACATTGGACTGCCCATGCTTACCTTCCAATTTAATCATTTATCAACTGTGTTATTTTAGATAAGTTACTTAACCTCTCTAAGGCTCCTGAATATATAATAATACCTCCTACTAAGACAATGGAAAAATTAAGTTGCTGAATACATTTCATACTTAACATCTAAGATTTGGGGTTCAAATTTATAATATCCTATCTGTGTGGTTTTAAATTACTCTAAGTCTAGAAATTTACATAAATCTGTCACAGGTCGGTAATGTCCTGAATATCTTGGCAGAGACTAATTTGATGCTTCTCTGGTGGGACTCGTCCAGAAATGCCACATGTAAAGTCCTATTAAGTATAAACTGTCACTTCAAAAGTAGAAAGTATACAAGAACAAAAGTCCTTTGTTTCAGTGTTACCAGAATCATTCCTAGAATTATCAGTACCACCTAAATTCACATAATGTAATTTTCTAATACTTATAAGTAGAAAATATTCCTAAAATATTAAAATAGATGAGAAGAGATATAAAACGTAAAAAAGGAAAAGATGCCATCAGCAATGACAGGAAGAAAATGATAAAGAGCAAAGTACAACTTTCCCAAACAAAAAATGTAATCAAGGAACTTAAAAATAGAGATAAATGTGGTACAGACACACTGTGGAATACTATGCAGCCATTAAAAAGAACAACATCATGTCATTTGCAGAAACATGGATGGAGCTGGAGGCTGTTATCCTTAGCAAAGTAACACAGGAACAGAAAACCAAATGCTGCATGTTCTCACTTACAAGTAGGAGCTAAATGATGAGAACACATGGACACATACTGGGTCTACCAGAGGGTGGAGGTTGGGAGGAGGGAGAGGATCAGGAAAAATACTAATGGTACTAGGCTTAATACCAGGGTGAGGAAATAATCTGTACAACAAACCCCTGTGACATGACTTTACCTAAATAAAAAACTTGCACAGGTGCCCTTGAACTTACAAGTTAAAAAATGAAAAAATAAAAATAAAAATAGACTTACAGCTAGATTCAACTAAACAGAAGTGAGAATTACTAAAAGTGAAATAGACCCGAATGCAAAACAGAGGGATAAATGTTTGAAAATATAAACAAGATTAAGATTTACTGAGGTTACAAAAGAAAATACACAAATGGCCAACAAACACATGAAAAAATTCTCAACATTACTAATGATCAGGGGATTTCAAACTAAAACCGCAATAAGATACCACCTTACTCCTGTAAGAATTGTCACAATTAAAAAATAAAAAAAGAGAGATGTTGGCATGGATGTGCTGAAAAAGGAACACTTTTACACTGTTGGTTGGGAATGTGAACTGGTATAACTACTATGGAAAACCATATGGCGATTCCTTAAAAAACTAAAAGTAGAACTACCATTCCATCCAGCAAGCCCACAACTGGGTACCTTACCAAAGGAAAAGAAGTCATTATATGAAAAAGGCACTTGCACACGCATATTTATAGCAGCACAATTCACAATTGCAAAAATATGAAACCAGCCTAAATGCCCATCAAACAATGACTGGATAAAGAAAATGTGGTGTATATATACACCATGGAATAATACTCAGCTATAAAAAGAAATGAAATAATGGCCTTTGCAGCAACTTGAATAGAGTTGGAGACCATTATTCTGAGTGAAGTAACTCAGGAATGGAAAATCAAATATTGTATGTTCCCACTTGAAAGTGGGAGCTAAACTATGAGAATGCAAAGGCATAAAAATGATATAATTGACTTTGGGGACTCAGGACAAGGACGGGAGTGGGGTAAGGGATATAAGACTATACATTGGTAAAGTGGACACTGCTCAGGTGATGGGTACCTCAAAATCTCAAAAATCATCACTGAAGAACTTTTCCATGTAGCCAAAATCCACGTGTTCCCCAATAACTATTGAAATAATTTTAAAAAATCATTGCCCAAACAGCACCCACAAAAAAGGGTTATTGAGGTTACTATGAGAATAAATAAACTTCCAACTAAAGCTGTAGAGTTAGAGAATAGATAAGAGGCAAACAATAGAAAAACATATATTGGCTGAGAATGTGTCAATAATTGTGAAAGAAAATCTAAATTCTCAGATTCGGGAATCACAACAAATCTCAAGCCAGTTAAAGATAAAGATACCCATCAGTAGATTTATCAGGCTAAAATTACTGAACCCCAAGGAGAGAAATTGATATGGTTTGGCTGTGTTCCCAGACAAATCTCATCTTCAATTATAATTCCCATAATCCCCACATGTCATGGGAGGGACCTGGTGGGAGGTAATTGAATCATGGGGTTGGTTACCCTTATGCTGTTCTCATGATGGTGAGTGTGTCCGCACGAGATCTGATGGTTTTATCAGGGGCTTTTCCCCCTTTGCTCAGCACTTCTCCTTCCTGCCATCATGTGAAGGACATGTTTTGCCTCCCCTTCTGTCATGATTGTAAGTTTCCTGAGGCCTCCCCAGCCATGTGAAACTGTGAGTCAATTAAACCTTTTTCCTTTTTAAATTACCCAGTCTTAGGCAGTTCTTTATAGTAGCGTAAGAACAGGCTAATACAGAGAGTAAATCTTAAACAGCAGAAAGAAAAGATATTCCCTACACAGTGAGGATAAAAACAAACAGCATGTTTCTTAAAAAACAACAATGAAAGTTAGAAGGTAGAAAATAGAATTCCGAAAAACAAACAACTTAGGGTTATGCACACACACATATATACTTGCAGATATAAAATAACATATACTATATTTATGGAAAAATTTATGGAACAAATTGAGCCATTACAAAAACTTAAAGAATATACATATTACAATGTTAAAATTTTCCATATTAATCTATAAGTTCAATTTGGTGCAATTCCAATTTTTGTGCTGTTGGTGGTAGTTGTATTGTTGGTGGTGGGGGGTGGTGGTGTTAATGTGTGTGTGTATGTGCATGCAACTAAAGAACATTTCCATTGCACTCCTGAACTAAAAGCAGAAAGTGGGAAAGTTGGCCAAGAAAAAATCAAGGTTTATTAACAAGATATAATAACATATACTTTCTAGTATTAATGAATGAATAGATAGGTTGTCTAAAAGCTACAGAATACAGAGTTCTGAAACAGAAGCATATCGTATATATATATATATATATATACACACACATATATATGTATATGTTAGTATTATATATACAAATTAGCGTTATGTTCAGAATAGTGAATTTTTTGACAGAAACTTTTTAATATAATCCGTATTTCCTATCATCTGAAAAGTATATCCTGATTGGCTAAAGTCAATATTTTTTAAATGAAAATTTCAAAATGTGAAAAAGTAGAAGAATTTTTTCATATACCTGAGATAGAAAATTATAAGTAAAACCTATATCAATAAGAAACAAACAGTGAAATAGAAAGAATTTTCAAAAGACATGAACAAGCTATCCACGGAAACATACACAAATGGTTAGTAAACCTATGGAAGTACACTAATGCCTCAGTTTTAATCAGGGAGTAAATGTTAGTGCAGGAAGATACATTTTCATACTAATTTTAATTTCATATATTAAAACCAATATCAAATGTTAGCAATGGCAAGGATGAAGGAAACCTCAGATACACTACTGGAAATCTGCATGACTCGCTGGGGAACAATTTGCCAAAATCTCGGAAAGTTGAAGATGTAGAATTTTCTACCAAGATATTTTACTTCTAATCACTTATCCTAAAGAAATTTTTACATAACCAAACAAACCATATTAAAATATGTTCACAACAATGAAAAAAATTAGAAAAAACCCTAAATTTTCATCAAAGATTAAAATAGATAGGAAACTATAGATTGATTATATCTTCATTATATCTTAGATATGAACAAATAGGACCCAACAAATATTGGATGAAATCATGTTTCAGTAAAAGGAATAAAAATTGTTTCCATTTATATAAATTTGAAAATATGCAATCCAAAATGATGGTGAATATGGTAAACTGTCTTACTCAAATTATCTCCTGTGTGTTGTCTTTCGCTACACAGACTGGAAAGCTAAAAACATATATAGGGTTTCATATCTAATTCTGCATCTGCAATTAAATGCACTCCTGTGGGACCTGAATTCACTATTAAGTGTAGAAAAATTGAACAATGGTAGAGGTATCTATACTGCCAGTGAATGATTACCAGGCATCACATAGCTCTGGTACAGAAAGTTCTGGTAGAAGCTGATCTCCAGAAGTGAGTTAGGTGCGGTGCTCCAGATGCAACATTGCAGCCAGCTCCAGGAAGGGGGAACACATTTGAAAATTCCCCAAATCTACATCTAGATATGTATTCTAGATCTGCCGCTTTAAATACTTGTCATATGATGACATGCATTCAAAATGGCATTGTGTATAAACGAATGAGGCTGCTAATCACAAGAGGAAACCAGTACTATTAAATACTAGCCATAGGGTTGAGTGAATAATACCGAAGGCTGTAACCAAGTCATGGCACACTGGTTAGAAAACGTTACCAAGTACACACAAGAGATGTGTACTTGGAATTCTCACTGCAGAATTGCTTGTTACTAATAAGTATTTGCAAACAAACTCGATGCCCAACAACAAGTGAATTAATAAAATAGAGGATTTTATACAGTATAATCCTTTAGCATTTGGTGAATAAACTAGAGCTACACATGTCAATCAAATAGATGACTGCAAAGAAATATACAGTATGTTGTCTTCTTTTTAAGATGTAACACCTACCAAAATAATATATGATTTATCAATTCATAAATATGTGATGAGATTATTTTTGAAAAACATATATGCAGATACAAAACTGCACATTCAAAATAGTGGTTATGGGCTGGGAGCAGTGGCTCTTGCCTGTAATCCCAGCACTTCGGGGGCCGAGGGGGTGTATCACTTGAGGTCAGGAGTTTGAGACCAGCCTGGCCAACATGCTGAAACCCCATATCTACTAAAAATACAAAAAACAGTCGGGTGTGGTAGCGTGCACCTGTAGTCCCAGCTACTTAGGAGGCTGAGGCAGGAGAATAGCTTGAACACAGGAGGCGGACGCAGGTTGCGGTGAGCCGAGATCACACCACTGCACTGCAGCCTGGGCGACAGAGCGAGACTGCACCTCAAAATAAATAAATTAATTAATTAAAATAGTGGTTACATCTGGAAAGAAACAAATGGAATTATTATACACCTACTATGTACTGACAAAAAAAAATTTTAATAAAAAAAGGAATCAGATTAGGCAGAAGGCATCGATTTATCTTTTATATTTGTGTCTTTCAAATATTCTACAGCAGATGCTGCAAAACACTAAGATGATGTTTAGTTTAGGGGCTGGGACACCAGTGTTTCAACATATTTTAAAATTAAAAAATAACCTATGGTAGAAAAGGAATTTGTTGGTTCATGAAACGATATTGCTAGCATTTGCCTGGACCCTGTCTCTGGTTCTTGGTGATTCTTCCAGTGCGGATATTCCTCTGTTGGCTTTGTCTTCCCTCATTATTTCTAAATTATATCCAGGAGCAAGCACAACTATGTGGTCCCTTATTTATATACAAAGGGGAGATTGTTTCTCGCCAATCAGTCACCGAATTAAATTCCTGATTTTCTTTACGAGTGGACAAATCTAAGACAATTACTGCCATGCAGAATAGTATGTGCTGATTAATTGCAGGCTTCCCACTGTACTTCTCCCTTTCAGACGCTATAGGAGGAGGAAGAGATGGCACTGATGGGCTTATGCTAACCTCTACTAAACCTCAGAATTTGGAGGAGCATTAATACCACCAAAATCTCAGGGCTCTAAATAGAGAAAATGTGAAATTCATTAAGGAAAATATGGGTGTTTTCCAGGAGATGGAACAGGGGGACAGGAGACTAGGTAAGCAAGCAGTAACTGAATCTCCGCACCAAGTGCAGATCCTCAGGGTGTTTCAACATGCTGGTATCTAGGTCACTGTTCTGAAAGTGTGGTCCCTGGACCAACAGCATTAGCATCGCCTAGGACCCTGTTAGAAATGTAAGATCTCAGGTTATACCTCCAGCCTACTGAATCAGAGTGGCTGGGCCCAACCAGCTTTCCAGGAGATTCTGATGCCCACTAAAGATTGAGAGTCCCTTCTCCAGGCCCTTATAACCACACACCTCTCATATTGTGAGTACCTCACTTTGCTGCATGGAATACTATTGTTTTAAAAAATGCATTTTCAGATATACAGCCATGTACATCATGCATATTGTATTTTCAGGAAAATAAAGAGAGGATTTTAGAAGGTAAATTTGACTACATGTCAAGTTCACCAACATGCTGGCTTCAGAACCTTCACGGTAAGATACCATCCCACTACATATACAATATTAATAATACAAATGTGGAATGTATCTAGGTTTCTTGTGTTTCTTGTTATCTTACCTTCTTCTGTGATATTATGAGTTGCTTCAATCTTATGTTTCTTGTGACTCATTAAGATTATTTTCCATGTTCTGGAGTGCAAAAAAAAAATTTGTTAATTTTGATAGTCAGTTTTTCTTTTGCTGCTCATGAAACAAAATTTTTAAAGTTAATTTTCATAAAGTCAAATTTTTCTCTTGTTCATGCTTTTGGTGTCACAGCTCAGATTTTATTGCCAAATAGATATTCATGAAGATTTATCCCCATGTTTTATTCTTTATCCCCATGAATAGTTTCATGGTTCCCACTCTTATATTTAGGCCTTTGATCTATTTTAAGTTATTTTTTTTACATGGTATGACATAAACGCAGTTCAACTTACTCTTTTGCTTGCAGAAATACACTAGTCCCTGCATCATTTGTTGAAGAGACAGTTTTTTCCTCTTGAATGGTATTGGCTCTTTTTTTGAAAATCAATTAAACAAAGATGTTTGGTTTTAGTTCTGGATTCTCAGTTCTATTCCATTAGTCTCTATGTTTATGTTTATGCCCACACCACACTGTTTCAATTACTGTAGCTTTATTGTAGTTTTGAAATAAAAAACTGTGAGTCCTTCACCTTTGTGGTTTTCTATGTCATTTTGGCTATTTGAACTCCCTTACAATATCACATAAATTTGAGAATTTGCTCTTAATATTATCCAAAAAAAAGAGTTGTTGAAACTTTGGTAGGGATTGCATTTTACTTGTACTTTAAATTGTTTTCACACCTTAGTAATATTAAATGTTCCAATCTATGGATAAGGGATGTCTTTCCTTATATTTGAGCCTTCTCTATTACTGTATATCTAATTAAGAAATTTATTTTAGGTAGAATTAAGGGTGTACATTTATATGATAAAATAACATATACAGGTAACAAGATTATATGTCTAAAACCATTACTTTATTACTGGCTTTTAGAAATTCTATTAATAACTGAATATGTATTGAAAAATAATGTGGTTTTTAATTATTTTTTTTTTACCAGAAGACATTGGCTACTATGCTGGAACTATGAACAGTTTACATGTAGCCATCTGTACTAGCAGAGACCTGACATATCGGCAATTTTTTCCTTGATATTTAAACATTATGCATTTTTTTCATACAACAAAGAACAAACTCACTGAATCACTCTTTAATTCATCTCTGTTTCAAAGTAATTCAATTATTCTGTGGCTTTTATTCAAGTTGAATGCATAATTAATTGAAAACATGCCATTGATTTTACACCACCAGAAAGGAAACAATTGCTTCCTATTTCAATGTTAAGATTCACCTTTCAATGGTAAGATGACTTCCAGTGAGGTAGAAATGATGATTCTCTTAAGGAGAAGAAACTCCTTCATAAATTATGGAACAGCATAAAAGGGACAGGAAATTGCAACACAAGTTAAAATCATTAAATAATAAAATTTTAATTCTCAAAGAAATTTGTCTGATTTGGACATAAAAAAATAAGAGTTAGAATTATTCTATTAAGTCAAACTTTTCTTAGTTTCACAGGAATCTAGTGTGCCACTTTAAGATAAGGAATTTCACTGAGGCTTGGAAATTGACATTAAAATAATAAAAATTGGCACCTTTGAGGAAAAAGCCTTGAAATCAGCAGAAAAAAAAGTAATTTAAACTAGATTTGCTTCATGAAGTGAGGTACATCTGCTTGATGATCAGCAACTATTTTTCCAGGGTAGAAAAAATAATAGTCAGTCATTACTTTTTGTGATTTCATGTTAGTTTTTCTTATTACCATAAACATTCCTCAAACTACATTTTTGGCTCTGCTTTTTAGACTTACACGAAAATTATTTCTATCAAATAATCAGGAAGCTTTTCATGTTAAGTAGAGTTGCTACTTCCCAATCTTTAATCCAACGGGTACATACAGAGCACAGAATATGGACCACATGGTGCTCAAGGTTTTGGGATTCTCGTACTCAAAAAGAAACATCTGCCTTCTCAGGGTTTCCTGGTGCAAAAATAATGATCCTATAACCAAACAAAATGAATGTCACTTTAAATATTAACAAGGGCCATAAATTGATAAATGAATCATATGATATAGATTGTCTAGGGAGTTTAGGTGAAATTATACAGGATTTATAAGAAAGATCGACCTATCAAGGTGACAGCTGAGTCACTAAAAAGGTAAATTAAAAGGCGGGTAAAGAAGTTCATGAAAAGGGAACAGTAAGTGAAGTGTGTGTAGATTTGAGTCGGCCTCGTTTGAAGAAATAAAAGAATGTTGCAGTATTTGTCATACAGAGAGAAAGGAGAGAGATTACACAAGATGGGATCAAATCTTGCATGGCTTATTAGAGGACGGTTTGTGGGTTTTGCTGTTGTTGTTGTTATTGTTTTGTCTACGCTATGTCCAAACCCTGCCTTCTCCTATGTGAAATGCTGTATCCTGGCAGCAAATAGGGGCACGTTACTTAAGCTCAGACAACGCTTTTAGAAAAGGCTTTGAGCACTGGGCAAATATTTAGTAAATTTAAAAATAATGTGCAATTTATCTCAAAGCATCATCCAGTGTCAGGAGCCTCAAAATCTAGGGTGAAGAATAGGGATGTTTGGGGAAGCTGCCAAGTAGGGGGAGAGGTGTCAGACTGCCTATGCTGGGCAACCTTGGAAGTGGTTCCTGCACCAGAATCTTTTGGTTACATCAGTTCTCCAAGCTTGGTTCTCTAGATCCTGTTTTCCACCTAAGCACTTATCCAGTTGTTTTTTTTTAAAAAAAACTTAAATTAGCTAGAGTCTGTTTCTATTACTTGCAGCCCCAAACTCTTAGACATTGTTATAGAATATTCTTTACTAGGATCAGCTTCTTCTTAATATTCTTTTCTTTCCTTGCATCTACAGTAATTGTCTTTACAATTGTTTATAGTTTCCCCAATATTCTAATTATCTTCACACCTTAATGTCTGCACCTGGTCTTCTCTATGTCAACCTGTGGTCAATACTCTTCCAGAAATCCTTCCTGGCCCCTACCAAACAAAGTCAATTCCATTTTCTGTACTCCCTCCATATTTTATTGGTAGCATAGTCCACGTTATGCTATATTTAATAAACAAATGTAACATCTCAGTGGTTTGCCTACTTTCAGAAACCCCACAGTAAATCACAGTTATTGCCCAGGGCACTGCTCCACAATATGACACCCATGCTATTTTGAGCTTGTGACCCCACAAGAGACTTCCATATTGCCACTGCAGAGGAAGAGAGAAACTGGAGGATGGCACAGCAGATTTTACAGCTTTAACCTCGGAGTGGCCCACTTCTATCTGGCCCACATTTAACTGGACAGATTAATATTTAAATGACCTTGGACAACTGCAAGAATTTGGGGAGGATAGTTTTCAGGATGCTCATAGAATAGGATATGAGAATTTGATGAAAACATAACGTCATGTTGGACTCATGTATCCTGTTTTCACCTAATTTCGTATATATGACATTGTACTATAATTTACTCACTTACAAGTTGGTCTGTACCTTCACTATGCATTGATCCTTAAGAGTAGGGACTATTACTTCTTCCCCTCTGAAGCCTCAGTACTGAGTATCGTGCTTGGCTCTCAGTAAACACCGTTAATGTTTATGGAATGAGAAGGTGATAAATGGATGTTATTTTTCCACAATAACTTTCTTTGTATTATAATTCCATGATACAGTATTAGCCACAATTCACTGAATATTAAGCATCAAAGTGCTGTGGAGTACTGTTTCCATCAACAGAGTAGGTTAAATTCTCTGGGGGCATTCCTGCTACCTAAAACCTGCATGAAACGCAAATTATACTTCATTTCTAGGCTGCAGGATATAATCAAAAACACTACAAATCAAAAGAGAGAGAGAGAGATTAAAAGCATGAGCTTGAACCTAAGTGGCAAGCAGTGAAAGCAAACAGAAGTCAGTTATGTGGACAGAAATACAGTCAGTATTGCTCTGGGGCCATGGGGCTTTTTCCCACACTTAGTAAGGGAGACCTTGAACTTGGCACTCACATACAAAATGAAGAGTTGGCAGGGGATAGTTGGGGTCCAAATCTGAAGTTATTTAGGCTCTGGGCACATCAAATTGAATCACTCTCCACAGAAAAGCATCCTTCTACTTGTCTTCAGAGTCTGCAAATAATACCATCAACCACATACATCTCATAATCAAATAAGACCAAAGAAACAATGAACAAACACCTTCACTGAGAAGTGAAGCAGAGTCAACAGAAAATAAATTTAGGCCAAAAATGACCTGATGGCAAGTATGTGAGCTATATCCAGATGGATAATAACTTACAGTTACCCTCCCTTAGTTGCTCAATTCATTTTTAAATTATAAATGGATTTTAATAAATACAAAAACTGACACGTGAGAAATGTCACACTTTTTTCTCACATTTGTACTTCTATCAAATAATTTTGTAAAAATAGAATGCAGAGTATTTAATGTCACTGTTTATATTAGCATTTCTCAAACTGTGCAAAGTCTTTCTGATATATTTAAAATACATTTAAAATAGTTTAAGTGACATAATATAATTATTATACTAAAATGTAAAAGCCTTTTTTTCTAATGTGACCCTATATTCATGATATTACCTTATTTACCTCTATTGATTCCCAAGCATAACTTCATTTTTATTCTGGTTTTGCCTAGTATTTGGTAAGATTATCCTATTATTTTAAAAATGGTAAGACAGAAAATTTTGACTTATTATATTCCCAACATAATCCCCATTAAATTTAATTACTATATCATATTACACAGAAAAAAGTTAACACAGCAACCCTGAAAATATCCTTAGAAAGGCTTGCTTGCATTGCTGCCTCTTGGTTGGCACTTAAAAACATGGATTTCAAGAGTGTTTCCACATGTGTCAAAGTTCTGTGCATTTTTAAATAAGAATAAAGTGTCTCAATGTTCCTAAACAGTTTGTGCATACAATATAATTTATATTGAACACCTGCTTTCCTACTTGGAAGCTAGAAACTTAATATATGATAGAGAGAGGTATCCCCACAAACCCATCCCTGAAGAAAATCCCTGGGCGCTGAATTTCTAGTGTGCTTCCTTGGTAGATGACATTTCACACAAGTTGTCACAACTCATTGCTGGAAAAATTAGTCACGTCTATGTACTAGGAAATGACTTTTGGCACCTTGCACTTCGTTTCCTCCAAACTTCACCCCATGTTCCATTTTCTTTTGTTGATATTCTTTTATTCTCTTTGCTGTAATACATCATAGCTGTGTCTGGCTTATTTCACTTAATATAATGTCTTCAAAGTTTGCCCACGGTGTGGTAAATGGTAAGATTTCCTTCTTTGCTGAGACTGAGCAAAATTCCATTGTACGTATGTATCAGATTTTCTTTATTCATTTAGGAGTCAATAGGATTTTAGGTTGTTTCTATATTTTAGCTATCGTGAATAATGCTGCAAAGAAAATAGGAGTGCACATATCTCTTTGAAATCCTGATTTTAATTCTTTTGAATGTATACTTAGAAGTGGGATTGCTGAGTCACATGGTAGTTCCATTTTTAATTTTTTGAGGAAACTCCATTCCCAACAACAGTGACCTGCATGAGTTCCAGAGACCTGTTGTGCAACATGGGACATATGGTTAACACACAGTATTGTGCACTGTAATACATATTCAAAAGACAGATCTTATCATAAGTGTTCTTAACAGACACACACAAACACAAAAGAACACAAGAAAATTTGGGGAGGTGATAAATATATTTGTTACCTTGATCATGGTGATGGCACAGCACAATGTATGCATATGTCTATACTCATCAAATGTCTATCAATTATATGTCAATAAAGCTTACAAATCATAGCTAAGGGTACAACTGTATGCTAATTCTTGTGAGTCTTCCTAGTGAATCAACATAACTGGGAGTGGTCTTGGGAACCACTAACACGCTGATGCAAAATATTAAATATTTGAGTATGTTGTTGTTGTTGTAATTACCTAAAGATATTTTTAAGTAAAGTATGATAGAGATTCAGTCACATCACAATAGGGAATGGGAGAATAAGGATCATAATTGCAAAGACTGACCTTATTCTTTTTCACCAAGACAGTTACAGATTATGCAGTCTTGGAGTGAACTGGGTTCACTAACTAACGTGTTCATCAACCAATATCTTCAAAAGTTCCTTTTCAGGGCCATCCTCATTTGAATGGTTTCAATTAAAAGAGAATTACATAGTATGCCACCATTAGAGTCAGCTTCTATTTTGCATTGTGTATTGCTATGAATAGATTTTCTATGGAAATAATACCTTATTATCATCTCTAGTTGTCTATTTATATAAATGAATGATCCTTAAATTAAACTGAACTACAACATTAGCAATATACATTGTTATGTTATAATCTGTATTTCTTTTTAGATGCATTTCAGTTTCTTTTATTTTCACTTAATTATGGTCACAATAAAGAAGCTGTAACTTGTTTTTATATAAGCTATAGAATGATGATAAACTAATTTTAGAGAAGATTTTAAATTTTATTGCAAAATAAGCAGACAAAAATAAAGATTTATGGGATAAATGTTAAACTTTATTTTCAAAGACAATTTGAAGACTTATTCCAAAAATAAGCTATTCAATGATGTAAGTTGGCTAGAGGTTCAATATAAATTTGTTTACATATTTACTATTAAATTTCTTTGAATATTTTGTTGCATTTGCCAAATGCAATGAAAAGTTCCAAATTTTAAATTCTTTTGAAAATTACTCTAAAGCTTAAAATCTGTAAAATATTCATTATTGCATTGTATCTGGATACTTGAAATAACTTTTTGTTTCTTCACTTAAGTCTACTGTGTATTTGATCATACACATAATTTTCCAATTTTTTCCATTTTGCAATAATGGAGATTATTCAGTTAAAAACCATATATGCTATGGCTCATCAATTTCAAATTTAGAAAAAAGTATTATTTATCTTAGAATCAAGCATCTTAAGATATATCACTTTATAATAGTTCTTTAATAATATCTTATTTTGATAATAATCCTGTGAGTTAACTTTTTTAAATTTCAGAAATAAGAGGATAAGTGTTTTAAGTAATTTTTGAGTAAGCTTTTTTATTATTATAAATCGTTAAGTTGTAAAGATATATATAGTATAAAACTTCTTTTTAGAGCAGAAATTCTCAAGATTGCTGAATAAATTAACTAAATTGGGGATAAATATTCAGTTTGATGATCAGTGGTTCAGCATTACTTTGGATGAGGCCTAGCTTATTGTAGTAAATCACAAAGTTGGTAGCAACAATTAGGCCCAGCTATGTTAACTTGAAAGCTAGGTAGCTTAATCTGATCACAATAACATGGGTTACTAATATCTTCAAAATTATGCATATTTATATGTTTCTCACCAAAATATATGAAAACAAAGAATTTAAATTGCAAAAACAGCTATTACTAATTTGACAATTTGTGAGAAAACCCATTTCAAAAAGCTGTGCTTTTCTTGTTCCATAATCCATTACCAATATTGTATTTTCAGAATATACTTAAACTAATAGAGAGTGATAATATGGTTGATATTATATTAAGTAAAGATCTGAAAATATAAGAAAAATGAGAAATTAATTATAGTGCAGGTGATATATTAAAGATATGTAAATGCAGTTATTCAAATATTTTAACATTTTAAAGTATTTTGAGTACAGTTCTTAAAAAAAATTTATAGTTTTCATGTGACAAGTCAAAGATGAGTACTAATAAAAAATCTCCTTAGAAATAGGGAATAATTCTAACATTCATTAGGTATAAAATAATTTAAGAAATGTTAGAATTACCCCCTGAATCAATTGTATCTATGTCTATCAATATGAAGGTATATTATTGAGACAGAGCTAAGTGATAAAAATAGTTTTCAGAGTAATGTATATAGGATGCAATTTTATTTTATTTTAGGGATAACAAGAAAACAAACATTATACCAAAAAGAATTCCAGAATAAATATTTTTGTGACAGTAAACGCATGGAATAAGATGAAAAAGAAAACCCATCAAAAAATCCTAGTAATATACAAGTATTTTCAATCAAATATCTATTTTCAAATTGTTTTCTCTTTATGTTTTATTTTATAATGAAAAATACATTTTTATTGAAAAGAGTCCATTATAAAAGACTAAAATTTCAAGTTTTTCTTTCCCAGTCCTCTTGCCAGTTTTTGCCTTTCCCAGTCACAAAAAATAAAATACCTGTGAATACAACTAACTAGGGAGGTGAAAGATATCTACAAGAACTACAAACCACTGCTCAAAGAAATCAGAGATGACACAGACAAATTAAAAAAAAAATTCCATGCTCATGGATAGGAAGTTTCAATATTGTTAAAATGGCCATACTACCCAAAGCAATTTATAGATTCAATACCATTCCTATTAAGCTACCACTGATATTCTCAGAACTAGAGAAGGCTATTTTAAAACTCATATGGAACCAAAAAGGAGTCCAAAGAGCCAAGGCAATCTTAAGCAAAGAGAACAAAGCTGGAGGCATCTTGCTACCTGACTTTAAACTATACTACAGGGCTACAGTAACCAAAACAGCATGGTGCTGGAACAAAAACAGACACATAGACCAATAAAACAGAATAGAAAATACAGAAATAAGACCACACACCTACAACTATCTGATCTTCAAAAAACTTGACCAAAACAAATAATGGGAAAGGATTCTCTGTTCAGTAGATGGTGCTGGAATAACTGGCTAACCATATGCAGAAGATTATAATTGAACCCCTTCCTTATACCATACACAAAAATTAACTCAAGATGGGTTAAAGACTTAAATTTAAAACCCAAAACTATAAAATCTCTGGATGACAACCTAAACAATACCATTCAGGACATAGGCATGCACAAAGATTTCATGACAAAGATGTGAAAGCAATTGCAACAAAAGCAAAAGTTGACAAATGGGTTCTAATTAAACTAAAGAGCTTCTGCATAGCTAAAGGAACTATCAACAGAGTAAACAGGTAACCCACAGAAGGGGAGAAAATTTTTGCAAACCATTTATCTCACAAAGGTCTAATATCCAGCATCTATAAAGAACTTAAACAAATTTACAAGAAAAAAACAAAGACCCCATTAGAAAAGTGGGCTAAGGACATGAGCAGATGCTTTTTGAAAGAAGACATACATGTGAAAAATAAGCATATGAATAAAAGCTCAATATCATTGATCATTACAGAAATGCAAATCAAAACCACAATGGGATATCATTTCACACCAGACAGAAGGGCTATTACCAAAATATCAAAAAATAACAGATGCTGGTGAGATTGTGGATAAAAAGGAACGCTTATACACTGTTGTTGGGAGTGTATATTAGTTCATCCATCGTGGAAGAGAGTGTGGCAATTCCCCAAAGACCTGAAGGCATTGGGAGACAGTGTGGCAATTCCTCAAAGACCTAAAGACAGTGGGAGATAGTGTGGCAATTCCTCAAAGACCTAAAGACCTAAAGACAGTGGGAGATAGTGTGGCAATAAAGACAGTGTGGCAATTCCTCTTTAGGTCTTTGAGGAATTGCCACATTATCTGTTCCACAATAGCTGAACCATTTGACCAGCAATCCTATTACTGGGTATATAGCCAAAGGAATATAAATCATTCTATTATAAATACACATGCATGTGCATGTTCATTGCAGTCCTATTCACAATAACAAAGATATGGAATCAATCTAAATGCCCATCTATGATAGACTGGATAAAGAAAGTATGGTACATATATACCATGGATTACTATGCAGCTTTAAAAAAGAATGAGATCACGTTTATTGCATGTCCCCACATGGATGGAGCTGGAGGCCATTATCCTTAGCAAGCTAACACAGGAACAGAAAACCAAACACCACATATTCTCACTTACAAGTGGGAGTTAAGTGATGAGAACATGTGAACACATAGAGGGGAACAACACTCACTGAAGCCTTTCAGAGGGTGGAGGGTGGAGGAATGAGAGGATCAGGAAAAATAACTAATGGGTACTAGGCCTAATATGTGAGTGATGAAATAATCTGTACAAAAACCCCCCATGACACAAATTTACCTATGTAATGTACCTACATTTGTACCCCTGAACTTAAAAGTTAAAAAAAAGAGAAACTATAATTCCAATTTCTTGTATAGATTCACACACACACGCGTGTGTGCGTGCACACACACCCCTCCCTTATATTTCTGACTCCTAGGATTTCTCAATCTCCAATTTATCCATTCTCATGGGATGTTGGAATTGCAGGTGAGTCCATCTCTTGGGATCCTGTGCTATATTTTCTTACAGAATCTACAAAGGTCTTGGCCGGTTACAGTGACTCATGCCTGTAATCTTAGCACTGGGAGGCTGAGGGTGGAGGATCACTTGAGACCAGGAGTTTGAGACCAGCCTAGGCAACACAGTGAGACTTAGTCTCTATTTGAAAAAAAGTAATTAAAATTAAAAAAATAAAAAAGAATCTCTAAGGGTCTTGTAGGATATAGTCTAGCCCAGAATTTCCAAAGCCTGAAGTTGTTCTAAATCCTTCAGTTGTGACCATAGCATTCATTCTTGGACTGGCAGAGCCTTTGAAATTGTATGATTGTTCTTTAATTATCCTTATATAATCATCCAAAAAATGAATCTAGCTTCTTAAGAAACTGATAAAATTCTATTCCTGAAACCTATTTTTGACACTCATTTTCAATTTAATAAACATATACTGTCCCTAGGTTGTGTTATCTGACAGCATGCCCACAATAGAAAAGAGAGACAATTGACAACTGTGACTTCCTTGCTATATCTTTAGATTTCTGGTATCACTCCCATATCATTATGCTTAAAGATTAAATTAGGGCCTGATCATTTGCACTATTGTTCCAATTGCATAGCAGTATTGATAAAACTGGGCTTTTGGCTTACCTCTACAGAGATAATTTAGTCGAGGATACATCTTTGGGTAAAAAGCATGCAACAGTCTTGCCCCCACAGATAACAATCCTATTGAAGGTGTGACTTGCCTATTTCAGTCCCAACAGATATTGAGTTTCAACAAAGCTACACATAGCATTCAACATGACAATTGGTGGCTCACGCCTGTAATTCCAGCACTTTGGGAGGCCGAGGCTGGTGGATCATGAGGTCAGGAGATAGAGACCATCCTGGCTAACACGGTGAAACCCCGTCTCTACTAAAAATACAAAAAAAAATTAGCCGGGCGTGGTGGCGGGCGCCTGTAGTCCCAGCTACTCGGGAGGCTGAGGCAGGAGAAAGGCGTGAACCTGGGAGGCAGAGCTTGCAGTGAGCCGAGATCGCGCCACTGCACTCCAGCCTGGGAGACAGAGTGAGACTCTATCTCAAAAAAAAAAAAAAATTACAATTGGAGTTCTTCCAGATGAAGTAAGCACAACATACCTTTCCTCTTCCACTATGTCTATAAACCCTGGATAGAACGCAAGCTATAACCTTATAGAATATAGCTATAAACCCTGGACAGAATGCATGAAGCAACCATCAAAGGATGAATCAGGAGGATTGAGAAGATGATAGGAATTCAAAGTATGCCTCAAACCATGGTGAGTTTACCATTTTTATTTCCTCTGGTATCCCTGGGCTGAAATGAAGTACCAAACACCCTTAAGTGATCACACATCGGTGATCATACTGGTGCAAAACTGCTCCAGGAAAATCCTCCAGTTCTGGCTTGAGGAGCTAGACAAGATACTCTTAATGCTTGGAGAGAGTGTATAATCAACTCCCAAGCCCCTCCACACCCAAGCAATTCTGTGTTCAAGGAGGTAGCAGTGGCAAGGAGGTGGCAGTGGCAACAACAGCCTTTGGAGCTAAAATAGGGAGCAAGAGATGGGAACCTGCCTCTCCATTAGAGCCCCAAGAGGATGAGGCAAACCATTTCATTTTATTTCTTTCTCTTCTTCCTTACTTGACTCCAGGCACAGGTGTAGATGTAGCATGTGTAGCAGAGTACAATAATTAAACCCCCTGCTTCCTGGCCTATGGCAAGACCCGGAAGAACTAGAAAGTGCCATGGAGACAGTGGAAAGGAAGGAACTAGCAATAGTGAGTCATGCCTAATGATGTTTATGAATTTGTACATTTGCTCACAGCTGCACGTGAGTGACTCTGATCCTATTCATCATATCAAAGATGTTGAGAATTGAACTAAAGAATTATTACATTCATGGGATAGATTCAAACAGACCTGCAAGTCTTTGAAAATTGACATGGCATTGGAACCACAGAATGGGGATTGGAATATGTTATCTACTTAACTGAGTCAACTTCCAATTAAAACATAGACACCAACATATATATATATATATACACACACATATATTTATATATCAGATATATGATGTATGTCATACATATGTTATATGTGCAATCCAGGGCTCAAACAAGACTTTGAGTTTTATAACTTTATATTCAAAATGATCAGGATATAATTAAAAATGACTGGATATGTGAAATACAAGAAATAACTAACAAGGAAAAGCAACAGATGCCAACACTAAGATGACACAGATGTTGGAATTATCTGACCAAAGGTTTTAAGGCAGATACAGGTGCCACAACAAGCAAACACAACACTCTTGAAATTGATAAAACAACTGGAAGCATCAGTAAGAAAACAAACTATATAAGAAGTATGGAAATTATATAACAGAAAAGCACAATAAGGAAAAATATTCAGTACAATAGAAGAATGGAAATAATAGAGCAAAGTATCAGTGAATTTGAAGACAGATCAATAGACATTAACCAATTTGAATTAGAGTGAAAAATAACTGAAAACAAACAGATAACACACATCTTCAGAGACTGTGCAACAATAACAAAATGTCTCACATCCATGACATTGGAATTTCAGAAAGGGAGGAGAAAGATTGTGGTGTTAGGGGAATATTTTAAAGAAATAATAGCTGAAAACATCTCACTATTGGTGAAACATATAAATTCACAGATTCTGGAAGCTCAGTGAATCCCAAACAAGATAAACCCCTTCAAAAAATCCTGATGCTCTTACATCTTTTTTCACTCTGTTCCATTCCTCTCGCATCTTGTCTTTGCAATTTTCACACACGCTGTCACCACTTTTCCCCAAATTCCTTGCTTGGTGCATCCCACAAGCTTTTTCTTACCCTCCCTCCACTTTTCTTGACTATTTATCATGGAAGCCCAACAGATAATCTTCAAAGGCAGAAAGCAAGCTCTGTGAGAACAGAGGAAAGGTAGACATTGAGATTTTGTGTTAGTATCCTATCGTTGCTATAAAAAGTTTCCCTAAACCTAGTGGCTTAAACAACACACATTTATTGTTTTACACTCCTGGGGGACAGAAGTCTAACTGGGCTAAAACAAATAAATTAGCAGGGCTGCAATCCTTTGGAGGCTCTAGGAAAGTATTGCTTCCTTGTCTTCTCCAGCTTCGGGAGGCTAGTCAACTTCTTTGGCTCATGACCATCTTCCATATTAAAAGCCAGCAATCGTATATCCAACCTCTGCTTCTGTTATCATATGCCCTTCTCTACCTCTCTCTTTCCCTTATGAGGATCCTTGTGATTATATTGGGCTCACCTGGATTATTAAGCATAGTCTTCCTACCTCAAGATTCTACATTAAATGACACCTACAAAGTATCTTTTGCCTTACGAAGAAACTGATTCACAGTATTGGGGGTTAGGAGGCAGACATCTTTGGAGGGTCATTATTCTGCCTACCACAGTAGTCAAAGCCAAAATCCTTAATGATGAGGTGGAGATGAAAGGTAAAAACAAACAAACAAACAAAAAAACAAGTAATACTTTTTGTCCTATCACGTCTTCCTTTCAGACTTTTCTATTTGCCCTTGGCCTTTTGAAATTTCATTGAGATAACACCAGATATGAGCTTGTTTTTATTCATCTTTCTTCAAAAGAGGTTTTTCTTGTTTTAAGCTCTGATAATTATTTCTGCATTTTATTTGATTATTTGCTTTCTTTCATGTCTCTGATTTCTGCAGTGCCTATTTAAAAGGCTTTTGATTTTTTTTTCTATCCTCATTGCTTCTGAATATTTTTTTTTGTCATAGTTTCCATTCTCCTTTTGCTTTTAATTCTGGGGGAATCATTTGGCTTCTTTTTCTGCTTACTGATTTCCCTCTTTCTCTACTTCAGTCTAATAATCAAATTTTAAATTTCTTTTCCTTTCAAAGTATTTTTATTTTCTATTATCTTTACCCTCTTTCACTCCACCATCATGCATCCAATTTCCTCTGAGGAAATTGGTAATTCATTATATTTTAGTTTCCAATGTTTTCCTTTTTTTCCTGTAATAACTTTCTTTTTACTAATGTTGCCTTGTGTTGAGTATGGTGAATTATTTCATGGTGCCAGGTGTCCTCAATTTCCTCTTGATCCTTAATTTACTGCTCATTATTTTATTGGAGGATTGCTGTTCACCTGTCCACAGATGCTGTGGATGCTGTGGATCCTGGAAGTCAGTAGCTATTTAAAACGTTGTTCTGTTTCTATTTCCAGACATTGCTTGTGCCTAGTAACAAACACTGTTTCCACCAGCTGTCCAGCATAGGGAGTGAGGCCAATCTGCCCAGCTACTCTTGAGTCTGTAATCCTGACAATTGTCCTCAGTCTCCCTCCAATTGCTGCTGCAACTACTCCCACCTCCATAGCAGTGTTCTGTGCATTTTTAGACCTGTGATTGGTTCCCTTTTTTGCTTGTTCTCTGTCGTTCTGATCACATTTATTTTCTATCTGTGAGGAATTTCTCACACATTCTGGTAAGTTCATAGCTATTTATTATTTTCCAGTGAGGGATATCATATATTTTCCTCACACATTCCAGTAACTTGACAGCACTATATTTTTTTCAATGAGGGCTATTATATAAAAATTTTTTAATGTGCCTTTTCTTATTTCATGCATTTTTTGTTGTTTAATTTTCACTACATACCCTTATTCAATTTGCCAACACCTTATCTTACTTAAAGTCCCCACATAAATTTGTTTCCTCTGGTAGATTTTTTTTCTGATTATTTTCTTCTTAGAAATATGCCCCTGTAATAATCTCCCAAACCAACTGGCCTTTCTCCTTCTTCCTGCTCATCAACTTGATACTAGTTCAATGCTCTGCACTAGATAAGTGGCAAGAGAATGAATTTGGTCTTTCTGGCTATCTGCTGTAATCACATTTATTAGATCACTCAGCACATAATAGTAACAGATTTTTCAATTTAAAAATTATTTTCTTCTTGAAACTATCCTATTTTATTAAAGGTGGGTGAGTAACTGAAACAACAAATGGGGTGATCACCAGCACCACTGATGAACAGGGAACCAGGTACAGTGTGTTGCAGGGAACATAAAGCTAACAGGCATCTAATCATGGCAAAAACACAGGGAAAGCTGTACGTAACCTTGTTACATATATTTAATATTTATGAGAGAAGTATCTTAGTCCATTTTGAACTGCTACAACAGAGTCACAGACTGAGTAACTTATAAACATAAATTTATTTCTCATGATTCTGGAGAATAGGAAGTCCAAGATCAAGAGGGTGGCATCTTGTGAGGGCCTTCTTGCTATGTCATCTCATGGCAGAAAGCAAGAGAGGAAAATAGTACACCTATGTGTGTGGAGGTGAGGGCAAACTTGCTCCAACAAAACCACTCCTGCAATAAGAAAAACACTCCCTGCATAACAGCATGAATCCACATGAATCCATTCAGGAGGGCAGACCGCTCATAAACCAAGTCAGCTCTCTTTAGGTCCCACCTCCCAATACTGTCGTATTGAGGATTCAGTTTCCAACACATCCTTTATGGGTGATACATTTAAAGCATAACAGGAAGTTTTTCAAATTAAAGGAAAAGAGATGAATAATTCAGTAAATAATGTTGAAATTATTAATTAGCAATTTATGAAGAAATATATTTATACCTTTACATTATGCCATATTCCAAAAATAAATTTCAAATTATTAATTAACATAAAAATAGATGAAATACATTAATGTTTATCCAACATATGCAAGAACATGACATTCTAAACTTCAAAGCTGTAGAAGAAAACACAAGGGAAATTAAAATTGACCAGATAAAAAATTAAAATATTCATATGATTTACAAAATGCAAAACAAAAGGAAAAAATTTGCAGTGAATTTCAGCTTAATGAATAAATTAAAATAATTAATGCAGTTTAATTTTAACTTCCTGTAAATATAAAAATGGGTAGGAAAGTAACTCTAATTCTGCTAGTGAAACCAAAAACGTAAGCAATTCAACAAAACAAAAACAATGTCACATATTTATTAACTCTAAGAAATGAAATTAAAAATCCACGAATGTCTCTCATCTTTCATTCTAGTTCTTTTACCAACTGGGCATATTGACATCAAATAAATTTAAGCACTTAAAGTAGACAGTCACATCTCTGATAAACATGCACACACACATGAGTGCCTCAATTTCAGCACTAACATGCAATAAATTAAGCTGAATTCCTTATAAATCACAAATTTGGAAAGAATATTTTTGAAAAAAAGATGAATAAATTACTGAAATTTGGGAAAAAACTGGAATCAGAAAATACTTTGAGAAAAAATAGCACATGATATTTACATTGAAGAATGGTTCAAATGAAGTTCTATTGCATGATGCAGAATGTGCTGAAATTCTCACTTCTTAGTAAATGTTATAAAGGCTATTTGAAATTCTGGCCTCCAGGGAACCAATGAGGAATGAAGTTTTCAATGGGACCGTTGAGTCATAGTAAGTGACAGGATAGTCAGTACTTGTTCTCATATAGGAACAACCCTAGTCATTCTCATAAGATAACAGTGTTGATATCAAGACGCAAGTACTTTAAGAGTGAACATTTTCAAATGAGATACTGGCATTCATGGCAATGTACAGTGGTTTATTTCCTGAATAAATATGAGTTTTCTATTGAATTTCGCTACATGTAGTCACAGCCTGAGCATTAATGCTCAGAAGAGCTACTGAAGGAAGTTTATGGGATCCAATCTTTGACGATCTCTGAAGATTAGGAATTTAAAGCTACCAAATGCTGCATGTAGGGTAGTGGTGGTGGGATGAAAGATATTGTGGTTTGATTTCTGCATAACCCTTTCAAAATGTTCAAATGATTGCATTAAGCCTTTTCAATGCATCCTCCCTGAAACGCACTTCCTCCACTGAGTAAAAGACCCATGGCAGAAATGATCATTTTATTGGTGCTCACTGCCAGCTTGTTTCTTGTGATGGATCTTGACACAAAGGAATTAAAGGTTTTGTTTTGCACAAAAAAAAATGTGTGTGGTTATTTTTATGTTTTAATCACCAATTCATTTAAAAACAAAAATATCTACAATATCCATGCCCTTCCTGTAGACAGTGTTATGACTACATCAAGGCTGATTGTGCTCCAGTAAGCAATGGAATTAATTAGTTACAAAAATTATGTTAGGCATGGCGACATACTAGTATTATTTCAGACAAATTATTCTGACGAAAAAATAGTTACTGCAGAAACAAGAAAGGAAATTCTTGACAGTAAGGCTGCATGCATTGAACCAGTTCTAGAAAAAAGAATAAAGACTATTTAAGGAACCATCTAAATGTTTCTTCCTTGGTCTCCCTTTCTGTTTTTCCAAACAATTCCTTTCAGTTAGCCATTGGCCTTATCCTCTTGCTGTTCTAGACCTTAGTGACACTCTGGTGGCACCCCATTAGGGCCTGCCTCTGGACTCTACCTGTCTTCACACCCACATAACTACAGATTTTTCTCATTCCTTCAAGGCCCTTCTGGGTGACTGGCTGGGTATTGCTGAAAAAACCACATTAAGTTGTCAATGACACCTTCCTATGTTCCATCTTTCAGGAGAAAAGCCACAAATTAGGATCATTTCAGGTTCTCTGGTGCAAGGCTGAGTTTTTATTGTTTTTGCTTTTATTGCTGTTTTGTGGTTGATGTGTGTAGGTGGAGGAGGAGAGGTTGAATTAAGAAAATACACAAACATTTAATACTATATCTTCTAGGCAGGTTTCAAAAGAGTAGTCATGGAAATCAAAATACGAGATCACTAGAACTATTTTGTTTTCCAGCCCGGTATTTAAACTTTGAAGTTGAGTGTCATTAGGCTAGGCATGACTTCTGCAGTTCTCTATAATCCCTCTCTAGCCTTCAGGGCTGATTTATAGGACTGCTTGGCCGTTGAAAGCATGTGAATGTCCAACCACTGGCACAAGCCTGTGTCTCTCACTTATAATGACTAGACTCCCTTTGCTTAATTTAAACATTTCCTGACTTTAAATTTCACAAGAAATAAAAATATAAACCAAATATTTATGTCTAGAAATAAATTGTATTAGATGAGAGGCTTGGAACCTCCATTTTCCAGGTTTACCATTTATATAAATAAAGTTATTTGGAAAATGACTCTATTTTATTTCCTTCTTTGCCTTAGAAGAGTGTTGGTGTGTAGTTCACTTAAAATAATGATTGCAAATATCCTTTTATTTTTATTAGCTGCTGTCTCAGCCTGGTTTACAACAACCTGTTTGTTGAATATATATTCCATTATGACACTTAGTGTCAGGACTAGCATGAAGCAAACCTGGCACAAGGACTCTAAATTTAAGGAGACATTCTCACCCAGGTGACACCCATGTACTTGCAGAATCCTGAGCATCCTGCCTCCTCAATTTTTGAGCCTTAGGCACCTCATTCTTTAGAAGGAATTTATAGTAATCTTACTTATATTAATCATTAAAAATCCATGGTTTAGCCATATGAATATAGTATAATTAGCTTAGCTAGATTAATAATAATTTTTCAATGTTCTCAATTACTATGCCAAAAATAAGTTCAAATTTTAAGAAGAGGGGACACGTGGTGATCTGGTCCCTGTTTCTAAAATAAAATCAATGAATTTTATCTCTGGGTGCTCTTTTTACAAAGAACTTTGTAAGACTCAAGGACAAAGATATTAGCACCCACTCACTTCTCTTCACCTTCTTGGCTCCACTGTGGTCCAAAGGACAATGGGACTATTGCCTTAGCCTTCCAATTTGCATCCACTGTAAAAGAGTGATCATTCTTCTCAATGTCTTATGGGACATAGTATAGTTCTCTTTTGCTGTAAACTGTTAGGTCCATTTGTCATTTTGAGGCTTTACGATAACCATGGAGTGAATACTCCCCTAGACATTACTGGCACAAAGGATACGGGGGAGAGGCCATTGTCAATTTAGGTACCAAAGTAGAAGAAATGGTAATTGACTCCATTAGGACAGGTTTTTCTTAGCAACTATCAAAAATAACTAAGGCAGGCATTGTTAGGTGACTGAAGGGTTGCACTCTGCCAGTGGGGCAATATCTTAGGAAAATTTGAGTATTACTATTATTATGACCTCCTAGGTACCCACCTGCTAGTAAGATTGAGTTCATGTAGGTTATTTTAAAAGAATATATGTTAAACAAACTTCATCTCGTTGTTTCTCTCAATATTAGGTGCTAAGTACTTACAATAATATAGCTGCCTAATATGGCTTGCATATTTAATTAGAAGATACAACATTTATAAACCATATTAGAAAATAAAGTTTTATTTAAATTACATGCTTTTTCATTTACAAGAAAAATGGAAAGAATAATCTGTTTTATCTCAAGACATATTAGACATACCTTTCTTCCCTTTCCACTGAAAAATTTAATGACTAAGTAAAACTATTTTAGAATAACTGAATCTAAAATTATCCTGAAATTTTCAGGTAATCATTAGCAATTAATATTTGAGTGCCTATGGTATATTACATACTGGATACTATTAGCTATTATTTGGAATATATTCTGCTTACGTTCTTCCTCCACCATGTAAGTTCATCATTTTCCCTTCTATTTAAGTTTTCTTTTTAATCTTACTTTCAGGTAAAACATAATTAGTTTTTAAATCATAAATTATTTTTCTAAGCACTTAAGAAGTATTTAAAAATGTTTAGTAACATGTTTTATATGTTTAGAAAAATGTTGGAATTTTGACTGGAAATAAATCTATGCATCAATTTGAAAATGATCACTAGCTTAAGTTACTGTGTCTTCCTGTTGTGAATATAACATAGATCTTCATTAAATTTTGACTTATTTAATGGTTTTCAGTTGAATTTTTCCAGGTTCTCTATAAAAGTCTTCCACAATTTCTTATTTTTTTGAGACAATATCTCTCTCTGTCACTCTGTGGGTGGAGTACATTTGCACAATCATAGTTCACTGCCGCCATGAACTCATGGGCTGAAGTGATTATCCCACCTCAGCATCCCAAGCAGCTGGGAGTAGAGGCGTGTGCAACCATGCTCAGAAAATTCATTTTTATTTTTATTTTTTTAGAGACAGAGTCTGGCTATGTTGCCTAGACTGGTCGAAAACTCCTAGTGTCAAGTGATCCCAGCTCCTCAGCCTCCCCAGAAGCTGGGATTACAGAGGTAAGCCACCGCCCTCGGCTCCAAAATTTTTTGCTAGATTTACACACATATGTTTATACATACACTTCTTCTAGGTGTTTTGATATAGTATATTTAATTTTGTTAAGTATAAAATATTTCTCAAATTCTTATGATTTCTTCATTAACCTCGATTTTTCAAAGGTTAAATTTAAATCATATGTAATATTTTATTTATATGTTTATTGTACTAAATGCACAAAATTTATGAATTTTAAATTTTTCCACATGAATGGAAATATTTACTATTAGGGTCTGACTTGTTTTGTCCATGATAATTATTTTTTAACTAAAAATATCCATTTTCTGTTATTAAGGCATTAATTACTTTGTCAGATATTTTCCTCATCATTTTCTAACTTTATTCTTGTGAAGTTATGTTTTAAATGCATCTATTGAAAACATAGTTTGCTTTTGTTTTCTTGACCAATTTGACCATCTCCTATTTTAAAAAGCAGTTTAATTTTATTTATATGTCTTGTGATTACTGATGCACTTGGATATACTCGAATTACCTTATTTTGTTTAATATTAGTGGCACTTTTTATATGCTTACATGCTTCTCCTTCCTTATAATTTAAATTGAACTTTTCCTAGTAACTGTTTGAATTAAACACTGTCTATCTTATGCTTGCAAATGAATTTTCATTCATATTTCACTTAACATAGTATGTTAATCAATATATCTACCCAAATAGGTCAAAATTAAAGAAAATTAGGATATATTAACTTTAATAACTATCTACCCTAATCTTACATGTTATTATTGGTTTGGGGTTTTGTTGTTTTGTTTTGTTTTGTTTTGTTTTGTTTTGTTTTGAGATGGAATATCACTCTGTTGCCCAGGCTGGAGTGCAGTGGTGCAATTTCAGCTCACAGCAACCTCTGCCTCCTGGGTTCAAGCTATTCTCATGCCTCAGCCTTCCTAGTAGTTGGATTACAGGTGCCTAGAAACCACACCCCGCTAATTTTTTGTATTTTTAGTAGAGATGGGATTTCACCATGTTGGCCAGGCTGGTCTCAAACTCTTGGGCTTAAGTGATCCACCTGCCTCAGGGTCCCAAAGTGCTGAGATTACAGGCGTGAGCCACCATGCCCAGCCACCATTATTGTTTAATATTTAACTTCCTCCATGTTTTATTGCAAAAATTACATATGAAGGGATTTGTTCAATAAAATCAATATTTGTTGAAATTACCCTTGTTTGTTAGTGTATTTCCTACTTGTTCTTTCTTGCTATCCATTTACCTTTAAGCTCGATGTTTTTCTTTCTTGAAGTTCATCCACTGGAAGTTGTTTTGGTAAGTTTCTGTTTGTCTGAATTGTCTTTATTTCAACCTCTTGGATTTATACTTTAGCTTTATACACACTTCTAACTTAACAAATATTTTTCTTTAGCAATACTAAGGTATGTTTGCACTGTCTCCTTAATTCCAAAATTGTTTTTTGGAATTGAGCTATCAGGGTAATTGTCTTTACTCTGTAAGGTAATCTGTTTGAAAGTTTCTAAGGTTCTTAATTGTTCAGTAATTTTCTTTGATTTGTTTAGAAGTGAATTCCAGTTATTTGTGGTATGTGGGATCCACTGGACTTGCTAAATCCGAAGAGTCACAATGCCATTGGTTCCTGAAAATTCTTGTTGCTATATTTTCAAAATGACCTCTTCTCAGTTTTTCTAATTTCATGTGGATCTGCAATTAGATGCATAGCAGGCCATCTCCCTCTGAACTGTTCCTATTTTTCATCTTAATTGCCGTTTTTATGTACTTTTCCATTTGTGAATCCATTTGTAGAAAGGACCACTTTACGTTTTTGTCCTGACCTGGGGTTTCAAAGAATGACCAGCATAATGATAGGTATTCAGGGGAGAGAAGACTTGTGCTTTCAAGTATTCATGGGTTACCAGCTCATGAATGCCAGACCATAGTATGAAAACGATAAATTTTCAGGCATTCATTCTCTTATGTCAAAAAGAGGATTATTTGATTCTAGGCCTCCCTTTACCTGAATCTGAGATCCTTGGGTTTATGCAGGAATCTCAGATTTATACCAATGAAGAATAAATTCAGTGATAAATAACAAACCCCAAATAGTGGTAGCTTACACACACACACATACATACACACAAATAACACAAATAGATTCATTTTCTACCAGAAAAAATAATCTGAAAGTAGTTAGTGCAGGACAGACATGATGATTCCATAGCTGTTATGAACCCAGTTTTCTTCTACATTTACACTCCCAGCTTTAAGACAAAGCATTAATGATGAAGGCTACTAATTGCAAATGAGGGATACAACCTCATGCTCCCTGTTCCTGACAGAAAGAAGAGAAAGCAAGGGAAAAATATTCTCCTAACTGCTGACTCCTATAAAGAGATGTAATATGATAGTCACCCAATACCTACCACTTGTGTCACACTGGCCAGAATTTATGTGCCCATCATTACTTCCCTCTGGGAAAATGGCTGTTAGTCTGTAGCTGGGCACGCTGCCACCGAAATAAAATTGGGGTTCAGTAATTAAGATTAATGGGGAAAGTACATAGGGCAGGCAACAAGCATTCTCTGCCACGTTGAGTCAGACTCTTTCCTCCTGTTCACTGCATCCCTTAACCCTAAGACTACAAACCAAGGGCACTGCCAAAGCAAACGAAATACAACACCCTTCATGGGCCCTCATAGCTTCAACTTTACCTTAAAACTAGGGATAAAAGTTCCCATTATACTCTGAAACCTTGTCTACTTATAAGCCTAGCTCTGTACTTAAAAGTTTGTAATATTTTATCAAGTGCTTTGTTGCAAGATATTATTTTAGAAGGCAAGCATCTCCCACTTCATGTAAACAATCTGATTCTAAAATCCAAAAACACTGAGAGGATATTTACCAGGATGATAGGGAATAATGACCTATTCTCCATAATTAGACATGGGAAAAATATGATGTATTATATCTCAATCAAAACACACAACCAGTTTTCTAAATTTTCACTAAATGCAATAAAACGCTTACTTATAAATGATCATGTTTGAATGTAAAAATGCGTAAAACCTTCTTTCTTAATCATCAAACAATTAATGTGGTTGTTAAATTCGTTTTGTATGCAGTAAAATGTACAGTTTACATGTCACACCATAGACATTCTGTTTATGATATGGAAAGGCCAATAACACATAGCAATAAATAAATTGGCTAGAAAAACTGCACATGAAAATTTACAATAAAATAGCAATTTCCTGTAATAAACTATAACTTACCAGTTGAGGTGGAGAGTTAAGGCTTGGGAAAAGCTGAGATGCCAAGAGCAGAAGAGGATTGATTGCCATTATTTCATTATTTTTCACTGGTTATGGAAGTTGATAGTGAAGGCAAGTGAGGTGAAGAGGCAGTTACTATCCAACTCAGAACCCAATACAGATCTTCTGTCATTCTGGTGCTGCTGTAAAAACTTTTGAACAGAAAAACTTCAGTGATGTGGTTGTAGTTTTAGGATGAAAAATCTTAAAAGAAAACTTTGCTTGCACTTCAAATTTTAACATTCACATTCTCTTTGTATAATACTATCAGACAAAACAGGTCTTCTGCTTTGAAGGAAAGCTCCTATTTCATTGCCATAACATCTCAGAAAAATGTTTATTTTTGCATCTACATAGCCGATCTACTACAATCTCTCTCAAAGTGCCAACAAGATCTGATTCAAATTCCCTTGTAAACCATCAGTGTGCTTTGCAAAATGTTTACATGTGATTTTGACATTCTAGTAATTGTTTCTGAAATGTAATTTGAGATTTGTCTCTAGATAACTTTCTTTAAAATGTGTTACTGTGTTTTAAGATGTAAATATGTGTTTTTTTATAAATAAGCTTTAATTTGAAAAGTTGTATTGCAAGATATGCACATACTCTGATATTTGCCTAGTAAAATTCAAAAGGATCCCACTAGAACGGAGTAGCCACATTCCTCCCAGATCCTCCCTCGTACAACTAACAATCCCAGAACAAGAAAAAAGCAAAGAATAGAAAAACTCTGAAGTGTGGACGAAAGAAGGGCTGCCTAGTACTCTTGTAACTTGAGAAAGGAAGACACAGTGCTAAGTTCCCTGGGTCTTTTTCAATACAGGTCCTTAATATAAATGCCACAGGAGAGCTGCACTTTCAACCCACCTTTCTGAAACAAAGCTCCCTATTTGTAGATGTGACGCTTAACATACATATCCAACCGGCCCTCGCACTACACTTCAACAGGGGAACTACCTACTAAAAAAGAAGCTTACATTGGATCCAGAGTCTCATAACATAAAATGTACAAGGTACAACTGCAAATCACTTGTCATAGCACGTACGAGGAAAATCACAATTGAAATGAGAAAAGAGAATCCACACAAACCATCAGAGAAAAAATGGACTGAAAGAATCATGAACACAGTCTCATGAGACAATAACTAAAGAGCTAACATTTATATCATAAAGGCTCCAGAAGGATAGGAGAGAGAGTGGAACTAAAAAATTTTTGAATAAATAATGGGTGAAACCTTTCAAATTCTATGAAAGATATAAACCTACAGATTCAAGAGCCTGACTGTGCCACAAATGGGATAATCCCAAAGAAATCCACACCAAGACAAAGCACAATTAAACTTCTGAAGACTAAAAGCAAAAAAATAAATAAAGCACACAGAAAGCACCTAGAAAGGAAGGTATTACTCATAGACAAACATCAAGTGAATTGAAAGGGACTTATCACCTGAGACCAAGTGCTGAAAAAATTGTCAATACCATTCAGCAAAAATATATTTCAGTGTTATGATGGGGGAAATAAAGGCATTCTCAAAAAAAGAAAAACTAAGAGAAGATGTAATAAGCAAGCTTACCCTTCAAGAACGGCTTAAGGAAATTTCCTAAACAGAAAAGCAGTTATAACAGAAGGCTTGGAACTTCAGAAAGCAAAGAAAACCATAATAAGTAAAATAAAAATAAAATATAATGGGCTTTTTTTTTCATTAGCTTTTAAATCACCTTTGAAGGTTCAGGCAAAAATTATACTTTGATATAGTACTCAGTGTAAGTAAAAGAAATACTGAAGACAACTATGATAAGTGACATTTGTATTTCAAATTATCTAGAACAACTACTAAAACAATTATTCAAAATAATAGACTAAAATACTATAAACAAATCAAGATGCAACCCTAAACAAAGTTTAAGTAACACAGGGGAACCAAGTATAAGAGAAACAGAGGAATGAAAAAAGGAAACAAACAGAAAACAAATAATAAAATGTCAGACTTAAATTCTAACAATATCACCAATTACCTTAATTATAAATGGTCCAAATACACTAATTAAAGAAAGATGTTGGCAGTGTGTTTAAAAAACATGACCCAACTCTATGTTATCTACAAGAGACTCATTATGAAATGTAATAACACCAGTAATTTAAAAGTAAAAGGATAAAAAGAGACATAGTGTGCAAATATTGATCAAAACAAACCAGGAATGGCTTCATTAATATGAAATAAAATAAACTTCAGAGGAAAGAAAAGTAGGAGACATTTTATATAATGATTAAAAAGATCAATCCACCAGAAAGACAAAACCATCCTAAATGGATGGTTTTCAGATAATAGAGCCTCAAAATACATGAAGCGAAAATTGATAGCATTGAAAGGATAAAATAACAAATCATAATTATAATTCAGGATCTCAGCACCTCTTTGTTGGCAATTGATAGAACTACTAGAGACAACATCAGCAAGAATACAGAATAATTGAATCAAAAAATATTACCCAATCAACATAGATGGACACCCCACCACAAAATTACAGAACTCATACATTTTGTTCAAATGCTTTTGGAACATTGACCAAGACAGATCATATCCTAGGCTATAACACAAATGGCAACAAATTTAAAAGAATTGAAACTGTATGTAGAATATAGTCTCTGACCACCATGGAATCAAACTAGAAATCAATAACAGAAACGTGAGCAATAAATCTCGAAGCATTTGGTATTAAACAACACACTTCTAAATAATCCTTGGGTCAAAAAGGAATTTTTAAAAATACATAAACCTAGATGAAAATGAAAACACATAATATCAAAATATGCGGGATGCAACGTAGTACTGGAAGATCTTGCCAGCAAAGTAAAGCAAGAAAAGTAAATAAAAGGCATACAGATTGGAATGCATGATACTATTTATAATTGTTTCCCCCAAAATAAGTACTTATGTATAAATGTCAGAAAACAGGTGCAGGATCCGTATTTGACATTACAAAAGGCTGATAAAAAATTCAAACAAGAACTGGATAATTGAAAGCACATACTTTGTTCACAATTGGAAGAGTCCACATAATAAAAACGTCAACTCTCTGCTAATTAATCTATAGGTTGAATTCAATTGTTTCTGTAAATGCTAGCAAGGATTTTCATAGGTATAGAAAAGCTTATCTTAACATATATATGGAAGGCACTAGATAGAAGAAAAAAACACTTTTGAAAAAAGAATAAAGTGTAAGAATCAGCCTGCATAATGGGAAGGTTTACTATTTAGTCACTGTGGTATTGCTGGAGGGGATAGACACATAGACATATGGAAAAAATACATAATCCAGATATAGACCCATACAAATATACTCAACTGAATTTTAACAAAGCTGCAAAAGCAAGTCAATGGAAGAAAAGTAGTCATTTTAAAGTTGCTGGAGAAACTGGAAATATATAGACTTTCAAGATGTTAAAAATGAACCTTAACCTAAATCTCACATTTTGTATACAATTAACTAAAAATAGATAGCAGGCATAAGTGTAAAACTATACAACAACAACAACAACAGAATAACTTTAAGGCCTAGGGCTAAGTGAAGAGTTCCAATTGTCATCAAAAGCACAATCCATAAAAGGTCAAATTGACAAATTGGACCCCATCATAATTAAAAAATTTTACTCTATGAAAAGGTACATGAAGAGGATGAAATGACAAGTTACAGACTGGAAATAAACATTTGCAAGCCACATATCTGACAAAGAATTTATATCTGGAATATACAAAGAACTCTGAAAACTTGATAGAAAAAAAATAGAAAATGGTCAAAGTCTTTAACAAGCATTTAACTGAAGTTAGGCAGATACTCAACATCATTTGCCATTAGTGAAATGAAAATCAAAACAATAATGAGATATTGCTATATACCTATGAAAGTGGGTAAAATAAAAATAATGACACCACCAAGTGCTGACAAGGACGTGGAGATGCATTACTTCATGCATTGCTGCTGGGTTGTAAAATGATACAGCTACTCTGGGAAACATTTTGGCAAGTCTTAAAATGAAAAAAAAAAAAAACAAAAAACACTAAACATGCAGTTCCCACACGACCTAGCAATCACACTTGCGTACCTTTTGGAGTAATAAAACCTTACATTATACGAAAAAACAAAACATTGATGATCACAGTATTTTCATTTTTAGTAGCCAAAAACTGGGAACAACACAAATGTCCTTCAAAGGGTGGATGCTTAGCAAACTAGGATGTAAACAAATCCAATACCATGTAATACTACTCAGCAATATAAAGGAATGGACTATCTACATGGGACACCTTCGATGGTTCTCAGGGAATAATGCTGTGTGGGAAAAAAAAAGGCACTCTCCAATGGTTATACAACGTGTAAGTCTTAATTATATTACATTCTTGAAATGACAGAATCATAGAGATGGAGATCAGTAGTTGCTAGAGGATAATTACTAGAGAAGGAAGCACAATGAGTCAGAGAGTATGGCTATTGAAGGTACCACAACTGATCCTTTTGATGGAAATGTTCTTTATCTAGACTGCAGAGGTGATCAAATAAATGTACATATGTGCTAAAATTTTATAGAACTAAATATACAGCCACACTAATGAGCACATATAAGCCTGGTGAAATCTGAATAAGGTTGAGATACTGTCAAATGCCTTCTCCTGGTTGTGATATTATACTATCATTACGAAAGATGTTACCAATGGGGAAACCAGGTGAAGGGTATACTGGACTTCTCTCTATTATTTCTTATAACTGTATGTGATGCAATAATTACCTCAAAATAAAAGGTTAAAAATAAAAAGAATGCTTTTTCCACCAAAGCATTAATGAAATATATGCTTATGCATATTAGTTTTAATTATTGTCATATGTAGCATCCTTTTCATATCTTAATAATGCATCAATCATCACAATATTATAAAAATCTCATTTTGTGATTTCTCCCGCATTACATATGAATGTATTAAATGCATACATGTAAAAATGCTTTGTAATTTGTACATTTAGATATTTAATCCACCTTATTTATATTCTATACAATATTAAGTATGAATATAGTATAATTTTTCTTCAAATGGATATTATTTTCTGAAACTGCTTACTGAATTATTTATTCTTTGCCATAATTTGAAGATCCAAATTTTCTTATATCTGTGTGACTCAGCTCCCGCATCTACAATTCTGTTCCATTAAATTCTTTATATTTACATTTTATATGAGTTAAGATAAGCTAATTATATCATTTTTCTATTGTTGCTTAAACAAACACATATATCATCCCACAGTTTTTGTGGGTTAGGAGTCTAGGTACAGCTTAGCCAGGTCCTCTGACTATAATCAAGGTGCCACCCAGAGCTCAGCTCTCATCTGGATGCTTAACAAACATAAGCTTATGATCAAAACATCACGAAATATAAGGAACTAACACACACACTGAATGATGGCTATCTGAAAAAAGAAAAAAAGCACAGTAAATTCAGACTGTACAAAACTATATAGATTGGATTTTGGGATACATAATATATAACATTCTGATTGGCAAGCAGTTTAGGAAAACATTGTATATAGTAGCAAAGCAGATTAAAATGTATGGAGACAAGCAGTTTAAAGGCTATTCTTGGGTGCATAACAGTGCCTGGCTCTTGGCTGATACTTGGGGCAGGCTGTGTTCCCAGTGGGGAGGTAGAATGAATTTCTGTAGAGAATGAGGGAAGTTAAAAAAAAAAAAAGAGTGGGACTAGTCTAAACACAAAAAGACTGTACTGTACAGGACATAGGATGCACATTTTATCAGGAAAGAGTGTCAGGACACATGCACATGTCAGCATTTGTAAAAAGACAGGAGTTCTAAAGAACAACAGCAGAAAATAATGTATAAGCTTTGGTCCAAACTGACAGAGCAATCTAACCTTTCTGATGAATCAATGCTGATTCCCAAGACATGGAGCTTGAAGTATATTAGTCCAGCTTAAATCAAGATTAGTTTTATTTTTTATTGTTTGTTTGGCCATTTTCTCTTCATTGTGAATGTTTCGGTAACATGCCATTTTGTAACTTAGTTTCCTAGGTTTCCCTATAAATCTCTCAAATTCAAAAAAAGCAAATCTGGACCAATATTTCTTTATAAACTTCAGTTATATTTGAGAATTTAAAAAGTTAACAAACTTCAGTTAAATATTTATACTACTACTTAAAAATATATTAACAATCACTATTGTTATTTTAAATGAAATATACCCACAGTGAACAAATGTAGTTTGTAATTTTCTCTGGATTTTCTAATAAATGCTTAAAATTTTAGAACTTGAGTATACCATTGTTCCTTGTTTATCAATGCATCACACTGTCATATTAACTATTTGCCAAGATTATAATTAATAACTTCATACAAGTAATTTACAGCAGGCTGATTATGAGTAATTTTTATTTTATAATACAGCAGCTCTTTAGTATATTTTATAATCCATTAAAAATATGATAGAGCATAATGTAAAATATATTTTTCCATATAAAGAAAATGTTAGAAATAGGCTGGTAGTCTTGAATATTCCACTAGCTGTGATGACCTCATTTGAGTGATAAATTGTTAAGATTAGCTCTCTAATTCATTATAGTCAATTCTTTTGAAAATTGTAATAGATATTTCAGTGAATTAGAGAATTAATCTAACAATCTGCCAAACAAGCTAACCTGATAGTTTGAAGCTTTCCTGAGTATAATGTAATTTTAAACTAAGAGAGATCCTATCCCATGAGCAACAAATTGAGATACTCTGTGTAACTTAATTTTGAATGGTAATTATATTAATGAAATAAGATTTTAAAAGCATTTCAAATCCATACATTCCTATAAAAATTGTTTAATCAACCCACTAAAACAGGGGTTAGTTTAATTTTCTAAATTTTGTAAAATGCTTGTCTTTAATAAAGACTTATCAGGAACAAAGCGATAGGTTCTTCCTAATCTAGTCACTGAAACTACTTTTCCATCTATGCCATCAGGGCAAAAGCTCACAGGTCTATATATCTTACTAGTACAGTGTATCTTATAAATAATCAAAAGAACTTGCTACAGGTTATGTAGAAAATTCAAGTGACTTATGAAATAATAAAATATGAAGGATGTGTTTATGAAATTCAGGATGGCATTATGTGGTTCTTTTTGGAATAAAGGCACCATGCAGTTTCTGACTCAATGAGACCAAATAAGAAGTTACAGTGGGTCTTAAACATCACAGTTTTCAGCATACAAAATAAATCATATACATAAATAAGTAGGGTTGCATGGGCCAGGTTATTAAGTGTGTGTGTGTGTGTGTGTGTGTATGTGTGTGTGTGTGTGTTTAGGAGCTAGTGTGTTGAGGAAATAGAGCTGAAAGGAGAGGATGGTTAAATATTTCTCTTACATGGAGTATTCATGCTATTCTAATGCCTCTATTAAAACTTCATTATGTGACTTCAGGCTGTAAAAATAGTTTTATGTCCAGGCAAGTGAGCACCAAGCACAAAATTCCACGTCATATTCAAGAACACATTCATTTTAGTGTCTGTTCAACTTGGGTCTCTGAAGGATCTTCCCTGACTGAGCTGGACAAAAATTAACCAGTCTATACAAGACAAGCACCCCCTGGCGGATGCTGTGTGTTTCCTGTGCTTAGAAAGGTACTTACATATAGTATCTGAGTCCGAAAACCTCTCCCGCTTTCTCTACCTAATAACGTTGTGCCTTCCCCGCTTAGTTCTCGCTAGGAATTTGCAAGATAATCCATAGACTGGAGCTGAGGATTGGTTCTCTAGAAGTGAATAAGGACCATCGTAGGAAATCCAATGTGGGAAGAGTTATTGGGAAAGATTTGTACCATAGTCCAAAAGGAAGATCCAAAATCACTAGAGAAACCAAATGTAAAGGCCAATATACTAATAATAGGCAAAATAATTATAATGAACACTTATTACATACTTTAATAAGTCCTCTTTACATTAGTAAACGAGTTAACACCCTAACAATCTTATTAAGAACCATTATTCTCCTTCTCTGTATTTTTTCAGATGAGGAAGGCATCAGGTTAGGCAAAAAGATTATCTTGCCCAAGGACATACAGTTAATATGTGGCAGATCTGGTATTTGCACAATACAGAGGCAGCCTGATTCTAAATTCTGTCACCTGGTAGCAGCAATACATATTGCTTTTTAAAGACAAACTCCTTTTTAAGCAATCTCATTAATAAAAATTATATGCAAAAAAAAAGTGGAGGTTAAGGTACCTGGCAAGCTACAGGAACTTTTGAATACATTTAATTGTGTGACGGCCTTGTGTCTCTGAAACAAAAGAAATATTAATGATTATAACATGTTTTTCAAGAGCTAAAATTGTTGAAAAAATTCAAAGTTGTAACCCTATGCAACACAGCTAAAATCACTGTGATGAGAATCTGCATGAGCTCAAAATATAGGCAATGTGGCCAGCTATTAAACCCTTGCTAGCCTGACTGAAGAATCAGTCTCAGTGACAGCACAAGGCTGAATCTCACAGATTCCCCTATTACTCCTGAAATGTCATATCTAGGCAGTGGTTGTACTCTTGCCCAGTACATGCAGAAGGAGTACCTGCATGTCTCTTGAACACCAAAGGACACATATATCCATTCTACCTCGCAACATGCTCACTCTGGTGATGTCAACCGGCAACACATCAATGTTGCTTTTTATTTCTTCCTCTTTGGAAGTGACTCTTTCCATGGTAATGAACAGCAGAGAGTGTCATGAGCTGTGTCTCTCACAGACTAATTATATTCAGTAGTTTGGGGCATTCATCTTGAGATGCCTACTCAAAAATATGTCATGAACGGCGTCATGCCCATGTTGCCCTGGCAGTAGATCCTTCATCTTCAAGGCAGAATCACTAAGAGCTGTATTCCACAAATCATCTGTGCAAGTATGTCAAATGTAAAGGCAAGGAGAGCCAAAAATGTTCTTGAAGTATCCTCAAAGGAAGATGCAGAAGGTACTGCTCAGTTATCACCTTCCCATACTAAGATATTATAATGATCACATATACAGATCTTCATACAGATTGACACCCTGCATGATGGCAATGTATTGCATCTGTATCTGTATAAGGGAAATAGATCTTGAGGGAACAGTTTCCAATTCCTTAAAATCTGTGGCATGATGGTGATGTGAGAACCCTCCTGTAAATTGAAGGGTATGGCATCGATATGCATAGACATGTATTTTTTGACATGTACTTCTTCCCTCTCCAAACCGACTGGGATGCAGTTTCCTCATTGAACATAATGGTCATTGGAAACAATGATTAGAGAGTGATAGTTGCCATTATAAGCGGGAGGTTCCTGATACCAGAATGTCAGACAAAATAGCTGGCAAAGATGGAGATACTACAGAGAAAATTAGAGTAAGTTACATCACACAGGTGGTCCTAAGCTAATGGGTCAATTACTTGTGTTTTTTGTTTGCTTTTTTTGAGACAGATTCTTGCTCTGCCACCCATACTGGAGTGCAGTGGTGCGATCATTTCTTACTGCATCTCTACCTCCCAGGCTTAAACGATCCACCCACCTCAGCCTCTCTAGTAGCTGGGACCACAGGTACGGGCCCACCACAACTGGCTAAGATTTTTTTTTTCTTTGTAGAGATGAGGTCTCCTCTATGTTTCCCAGGCTAGTCTCAAACTCCTAGACTTAACAGATCCACCTGCCTCAGCCTCCCAAAGTGTTAGGATTACAGCTGTGGGCCATTACATCTGACTGTGGGTCAATTATTGAAAGTTCTACAGCAGAAGTCAACAAGTAGAAAATAGAAGAATCAAACTAAGAAGACTAAGAAGAAAGTAAAGGGCAAGGGTCCAGGAGAAAGATTATAAAGACAGAATTGAGAATTTGTAATTACACAAAGATGGTACCAAAGCAGAAAGAGTATGGAAATAAAGGATGTCCAAAATTATCAGGGAATCTAGTATTTTGTTAGTTCACATTAGGGGAGTGTAAGTGTATGTTAACTGAGCATGTGAAATATATATATACAATATCACATATATGTAATATATATTATATATTTGACAAACTCAGGTAACATACATGTTATTAATATGTGTGTGCATGCATATATGTGTATATATTTATATATGTGTATCTTATATGCATATAAATTCCATATGTGTAATATATACATGCACACACATATTAATATTAATAATAGCTTCATATTTATACTTTAAACGTATTATAAAGTGTGCATTTCAGTGGCTTTTATTATAATCCCAGGATTGTGCAATCATCAGCATGATCTAATTTTAAAATATTTTTATCACAACAAGAGGAAATTTCCTACCCATTAGTAATCATTTCACATTCCCACCTTTCCATAGCCCTCAGTAACTACTAATTGAATTTTCATCACCATGAATTTGACTACTGTGGACATTTTATATAAATGTAGTCATATAATATGGGATCTTCCTTAACTGGCTTCTTTCTCTAAGAATAATACTAATACTTTCAAAGTTAATCCATGTAACATAGCATGCATAAATATTTAATTCCTTTTTATTGCCAGGTAATATCCAAATGCATAGATAGTCCACATTTTATTTTCCATTGATGGACCTTTGGGTTGTTTCTACATTTTGATTCTTATGGATAAAGCTGACATGGACATCTGTGTACATTTTTGTGTGTGGACTTATGACTTTACTTCTCTCTAGTCTACCCATGAGTAGAATCATCATATTATATAGTGACTTCATAATTTATCATTTTGAGGGACTGCTAAACTGTTTCCCAAAGTGACTGCACTATTTTACTATCCTGTGTTCCTCTATACACTTCATAATACTTTTTATGGTCTGTCTGTTTAAGTTTTAGCTACCGTTATGGATAAGAAATTACACTTCACTGTGGTTTTGATTTACATTTTCCTATGGGCTACTGACGTTGAGCAACTTTTCATGTGCTTATTGGCCGCTTGTATATCCTCTTTAGAGAAATGTCTATTCAAATATTTTACCCATTTAAAAATTGGTCTTATATTATGCATATTGTATTGTTTAATTTGAGAATTACTCATATATAAATACAAGTTCCTTATCAAAAATATGATTTTAAAGTATTTCACACAGATTTGTGGGTTATCATTTGTCTTATTCTGTTTTGTGCTGCTGTCACAGAATATTGAGACTGGATAATTTACAATGAACAGAAATGAATTGGTTTATGGTTCTAGGGCCTGGAAAGTTCAAGATCCAGAAGATGGCATCTGGTGAGGGCCTTCTTGCTGTGTCATTCCATGGAGGAAGGGCAATGATGGGGCAGAGCAGGTGTGTGTGTGTGTGAGAGACTGAATTCACATTTTTGCTGCCTTTTTTGTTTTATCTGGGTGTCGAGCTGATTGGATGGTTCCTGCTGACATTGAGGGTAGATCTTCCCTACTCAGTCCAGTGACTGATATGCCAATCTCCTCTAAAAAACCCTCACAGACCCACCCAGAAATAACTCTTTGCCAGTCTCTAGGTATTTCTTAATGAAGTCAAATTGACACCTAAATTAACAACTAAATCTTTTCACTTTTTTGATGATGTCCTTTTAATTACAAAATCTTTTAATTTGATGATGTACAATTTGCGCATTTTTTTCTTTCATAACTTATACATGTGTCAAATACGTGAAACAATTGCCTAACATAAGGTCATGGTAACATATTCCTGTGATTTCCTTTAAAATTTTTTAGTTTTATTTGTTATATTTAAAACTATGGTCAATTCTTATACAAGGTGATGCATATAATTCTTTATGCCCCACATAAAAAAGAGAAAGAAAAGAGGCCATACTTCATATATATAAACAGAGACTTCCATCTCTTGAACTGGCAGTGTCCATAGTTGAAAAGTCAAAACTGAGCACATACACTACACTGAATCTTTTGTCATGTGACCACTGCTGTCTGGCCAACCATACAAAAAGCTGGGAAGCAAAGAGTTCTCTCCATTTGACTCTAACTTCATCATGAGTCTCATTTATTTTTCTACCAATTAATACTCAAATATAAACTATTCTGGGACAGATATGGCAGATTCACTCTTAGCACTGATTCTCACCTTATCTAATATACTATGGGGGCTGGAAAGCTGAAAGAGCTCTGGGAAGCTAGGATTCTGCATGTGACATATGTTTCTCCGCACAGATACATCTGCATTGTCCTCAGATGTGGAAGTGATCAACATGATGCAGGAGCTTCTTCCACAGAACAACCAGCATGAGAGGCTTCTTCCACAGAGCAACCAGCATCACAGAGGCATCCAGTTATTCAAGGTAACTGATTATTTTTTTATTTTTATCTTCCAGTCACTAGCATCAGAAGTTCTGAGCATGGACAGTGACACTAGTGATGTCATTAGTTGTATGTTTCTCCTGAGTTGTTCCTGCCTGTATGTTTCTTAGTTGTATAGGATCTAACTGTAGTTCTCCGGTTCCTCACTAAATCCTTTTCTGTTCAAGCTAACTCAAGTAAGTTCTATTATTTGCATCTGAGAACCATTATTAACACACTCCACATTGTCTCCACCCACCCATGCTCACAGCCTAGGCTGGCAGCCTGTTCTTTAATACGCTATCATTGTACAATGCTCCTTAGCTTCCTGGGTTCTGACCTTCATATCTATTCCTACCTCCCTCTACATCATTTTTTTCTGCTGCATAAAATAGTATGAGCAAATTCCTCTATGCCCTTAATTCCAGGGCCTAACATTGTTTTATTTCCCAAGTCACTAATTTATGTATCATGTTCTCTGTCCTTCTAGCTCATTTGACCAAACTAATCTCACTTAATGTTTTAACCACCTTGATACTTTTTCCTTATTATTTTCCTATTTTGTCTTCACTTTTTTACCTGAGTTCAATGATATGGTCCATTATTTAATAATTTTCTCTTGTTCTTCTGACTTTTTTTGCCTTCTGGGCAGCTGAACATAGCTCTAGAAAGTCATCTAAATTAACAAATTAGCACTACTATGAATTGAAGATCCCACACCATAACTAGACCTCCCATATGGCTTGCACATTGTTCAATATTTATCTGATAAAATTGCACAACAAATATTCCATACATCCCCACGTAACCAACATCAAACATCCTTGCTACCCTTATCACTATTAGCAGGTGATCTCCAACTTGTTTTTCACAAGGCATGAAGAAACCCTTTAAAAGGAACAATCAAAATATGTTGATTTATATCGGCAAGTCAACTGGAATTTGATTCCATGCAGTTCTCCTTTCTGTATTCTTATAAAATTTTGTATTTCTGCCTGTATGTATCTTGCTCAAATAATATTTCAGGAAGGAAGGAAGGGAGGAAGAGAGGGATGGAGGGAGGAAGGGAAGGAGGGAGAGAGGGAGGGAGGGAGGAAAGGTTGGAAGGGAGGGAGGGAGGAAATGTTGGAAGGAAGGGAGGGAGGAAGGGAAGAAAAGCTTCTACATATCTCTCCTTGCATATGTTATAAGATATTCCTAAAAGAGCTCTCCACTATTTTTGATGTCCATCTCAAGCAGAGAGCACAAATTAAGTAATTCACTACCCTCTGGCAGGATCAGGGAACTGTTAGTTGCTGTTATTTATTCTTTCCAAGTATTTAATTAGGTAAATGATTTAAGCTTGAACAAGTGTGATCCTGTTTGCTAAAATTCTCAAGGAATTGTGGGATAATCTAGCACTTTGGCTAACAGAGTGGCAAAATACAATGAATCATGTTTCCTCAACTGCTCTCCCATATTGCAGGTGCAGACAGCACACACAGCTGAAGAGGAGTGTTTGTAATAAAAAGAAATCCTCTGTTCATTCTTAGCTGTGACAGCAGAAATTTATAGTATGAGTACTATGTCCCAATAAGCTTCATAGACAAGCTTCTGTGAAGAAGATTGCCACTTCATAGACAATCTCCTTTTCCCAAATATGAGACACCACGAAAATCCCAATTCCCTGATAGAGGTATAACCTTCCTGGCATGTATTTGCTTTATGTCTATTCATGTATCCTTGATAATCTTTGTGTTTCCAGGATTTTTTTTTAAGTACTCAGACTTTTAAGGTTCTAGGGTGTTTTACTGACAGGACATCATTTCAGCAAACATCTTTCCAAGATATTAGAAAACAATTCTATTACCAACAGGCACATCCTATATTAGGCTATCATAAAGGAATTCCTACCTTAGAAACCCAGATTATGGTTTACATCAAACTTTTTCATTTCTTCTATTCAGTTCTCAGGAAGTAGATTTTCAAATACTCAGTCAGGCTTATAGGAATGTCTAAATATTAGAAATCCAGATACAATGTGTACTACATATTCTTAGATGAAGCTGTCTGGAAAACTGAAAGAGCAAGACTCCATACCTTGGATGTCTCTGGAGGATCCCCTCATTTGACCCTACTTCAGATCATTTATTATTGTAGGTCCATGAAACCATCTTAGTTATGGCAGTCATTCTGATAATAGTCTACCGTTAGATGCTTGACTAAGGTGAACAACTTGTCCTAGTTTGCCCAGGGTATTTCCAGTCTTAAAACAGGAAAGTCCCATATCCTGGAGACAACCCTGGTTTATGCTGGACCATCTTCATCCCTGAACACCTTGGTTCTATTTTTTTTTCAGCTATTTCACTGTGTGGATAATTCAGTATCATCATTTCATTTTAGGTATACCAGGTATCCCAATTCATGTCAATTCTTTTAGGTTCTTAATTAAGGTACTTCTATCCTAATGAGCCTGTATATTACAAGACACTTAAGATGGGTTGCCAGAGAAGTGTGTGAACAATTTGTTGGAAGGGTAGGTAAGTATGGTAATGATAAGTAAGTAAGTAATGATAAGGTGCTAACCTCCCAACCTGCTGAATTGCTATACTACTCACTAAAAGAAGAACGTTCCTATAGCATCTTTACCCAAAGTCTTCATTCCAAACCAAAAATACCATACTGGACTTGTCTATTATTACCATCCACCCAAGAGAAAATTGAGAGACAGACAGCTTTATAATGAATTATCCAAGTCTTTGTTTCAGAAAGTCTAAGTTCCAGCCCCTCTCCTTACCCTAACCTCTTTAGCAGCAGATTCTACAGCTGGGTGTTTTATCTCATAAGTATAAACTCATCTCAGTCATATTTCCTGCTATGGGACACCTGCACACCAAATAAACCAAGATTTGGTCCAGATGTAAGTTGAGGGATGAGGGAGTACAGATAAGTCAAACTTGATAACACGTTTAAAGTCTCTGGAAATAAGTGTGCTGGTACAGAAAAGGAACAATTCATGGGTCATAAAATTGCTTTGGAATTACTCACAATAGGCTTCTTCTTTGCTTTCCCATGTCTTCTCTTCTGGCAATCCTCATTCATTTTCTTATTTTACTTCTCTATTGACCCTATAGCTTGTTAGATCAGTTGAATAAACATCTGCCTTTCAGACTTTAAATCCAAAATCTGGTCTTGTCTCCCTCTTCAAGCACATCACCTCTAGGGTTCTATCATTGGTAAAAAGTCAGAGGAATTTCCCATTCCTCTGTTTCGTAGGCAGCCCTTACCAGAAAATTCTTAGCAACAATCAGGTAATGAGATTTTCAAAGACTATTAAGGCATCAATTATTCATTAGCAACACTATTACATGTACCTGTTAGCCATATTTTACATTCCAATTTATAAGGACAATCACAAGAGTCAAGACAGAAATTTTCATGGCAAAAGAATTTTAAAATAATTTAACGTGAACATAAAAATGGTCACAAATGATGGTTTCCACACCCCTGTCCCTGAATTTGTTTGATTCTACAAAACAATTTCTGTGCTATACTAATAATTTACGATCACTCATTTATCAGTATAGCATTTGTGAAAACTGTGGTGCTAAGCTCATCATTAAAAACTGAAAACTTACTCTGAATTAAAGCATATTTTCAGCATTACTATTCTCCATCTCAAATGGCAGACATAATAGTAATATCGCATCTTATTTATAACAGTTACACCCCAGTGATTTACCTTGAAAAGATGTTGTGTGAGTATTCAGAGGTGTTTTTCCAGCCAAAGATGAAAGATGTAAGTATCCCTGGAATATAGCATACTTTCATTGCACTTTACAGATACTGCATTTTTCAAAAAATGAAGGTTTGTAGCAACTTTCCTTTGAACAAATGTATCAGCGCCATTTTCCTGATAACATGTGCTCACTTTTGGTCTCTTTGTTACGTTTTGGTAATTCTCACAATATTTCAAAAGTTTTCATTATTATTATATCTGTTGTGATTACCTGTGTTCAATGATATTTGATGTTACTATTGTAATTATTTTGGGGTACCAAGAACTGTGACCATATAAGACAGTGAATGCAATTGATAAATGTTGTGTGTGTTCTGACTGCTCCACCGACTGGCTGTTCCCTGGCTCTCCCTCTCCTCAGGTCTGTTTATTCCGTGAAATACAACAATATTGAAATTAGGCCAATAAATAACCCTAAAATGGACTGTAAGTATTGAAGTGAAAGGAAGAGTCACACATCTCTCACTTTAAATGAAAAGATGAAAAGCTAGAAATTATTAACCTTAGTGAGTAAGGCATGTTGAAAGCTGAGATAGGGAAAAAGCTAGGCTTCTTGTGCCAGTTAGCCAAGATTTGAATGCAAAGAAAAAGTTCTTGAAGGAAATTAAAAGTGCTATTTCAATGAACACATGAGTAATAGGAAAGTGAAACAGCCTTATTGCTGATATGGAGAAAGTTTTAAAGATCTGAATAGAAGATCTAATCAGCCACAACATTCCCTTAAGCCAAAGCCTGATCCAGAGCAAAGTCTTAACACTCTTCAATTTTATGAAGGCTGAGAGAGGTGAAGAGGCTGCAGAAGACAAACTTGGAAGCCAGCAGAGGTTGGTTCATGGGGTTTAAAGAAAGAAGCTATCTCTATAACATAAAAGTGCAAGGTTAAACAGCAAGTGCTGAGGTAGAAACTGCAGCAAATTATCCAGAAAATCATAGGTAAGATGATTGTGAATGTGACTACACTAAACAACAGATTTTCAGTGTAGATCAAACAGCCTTCTATTGGAAGAAGATACCATCTAGAACTTTCATAGCTAGAGAGATCAAGGCCTGGCTGAAAACTTTCAAAAGACAGGCTGACTCTCTTGTTAGAGGGTAAGATAGCTGGTGACTTCAAGTTGAAGCCAATGCTCACTTACAATTCTAAAAATCCTAGGGCTCTAAAGAATTATGATAAATCTACTCTGTCTATGCTCAACAAATGGAAGAACAAAGCCTGGATGACAGCACATCTGTTAATAGCATGGTTTACTGGATAGTTTAAGACCACTTTCAAGACCTACTGCTCACAATAATAAGTTCTTTTCAAAATATTACTGCTCATTGACAATGTACCTAGTCACCCAAGAGCTCTGATGGAGAGGTAAAAAGAGATAAGCGTTGTTTTCATGCCTGCTAACGCAACAACCATTCTGCAGCCCATGGATAAAAGAACAATTTCAAGTTTCAATTCTTGTTATTTAAGAAATACATTTCAGAAGGCCATAGCTGCCACAGATAGTGATTCCTCTGATGGATCTGGGAGAAGTCAGTTGAAAACCAGGAAGGGATTCACCAGTCTAGATACCCTTAAGAACATAAGTGATTCATGAGAGGAGGTCAAAATATTACCATTAACTGGAGATTGGAAGAAGTTTATTCTAATGCTCATAGATGACTTTCAGGGGTTCATGACATCAGTGCAGGCATTAATTTCAGATTTGGCCAAAATAGCAAGATAACTAGAATTAGAAGTGAAGCCTGAAGGTGTGAATGAATTGCTGCAATTTCATGACAAAACTTGAAGAGAATGAGGTGATTTTCCTTATGGAAGAGCAAAGAAAGTGGCTTCTTTGAGATAGAATCCACCAGTGGTGAAGATGCTATGAACACTTTGAAATGACAACAAACGATTTAGAATATTACATACACTTAGTTGATAAAGCAGTGTCAAGGTTTGAGACAGGTTTTGAAAGTTCTACTTTGGGTAAAATGCTATCAAATGGCATCAGAGGCTACAGAGAAATCTTTCATGAAAGGAAGAGTCAATCAATGTGGCAAATCTCATTGTTGTCTTGTTTTAAGAAATTGCCAGACACCCCAACCTTGAGGAACCATCTCCACCCTAATCAGTCAGCAGCCAGCCACATTGAGGCAAGACCCTCCATCAGCATAAGGATTATAACTTGCTAAAGGCTCAGAAGATACTTAGCATTTTTCAGCAATAAAATGTATTTGAATTAAGGTATATAAATTTTTTAGACATAGTGCTATTGAATTAATAGACTACCGTATACTGTAAAATAATTTTTATGTGCACTGAGAAAGAAAAAAAGATATATTTGTGTAACACACTTTATTGCCTTTTTGGCTTTATTTCAGTGGCCTGGAACCGAATCTGCAATATATCCCAGGTATGCCTGTATGTGTAACTTGCCCATAGAAGGAAAATTCCTTGTTAATATGGCTTCCTTCTTGAAGGTTAAAAGGGCAGCCAACTTTAGCAAGTGGAGAGCAAATGATGAGACACTGCACGTAGCAGTGCCAGTAGTATTGCCAGGCATTGTTATAAATGCTTTATGCGGTTGGCCTTTCATATACATTTGTTCCACACCTGTAGATTCAACCAACCTCCGATTTTAAATATTAGAAAAAAAAATAAAAAGTAACCGTACTATAATAATTAATACAAATAAAAAATACATATGACCACAATTTACATAGCATTTACATTGAATTAGGTATTATAAGTAATCAAGAGATTATTTAAAGTACACAGGAGAATGTGTGTAGGTTATAAGTAAAAACTATGCCATTTTGCATAGGGGACTTGAGCATCTGTGGATTTTGATATCTGCAGGGGGGTCCTGGACCCAATCTCCCATAAATATCAAAGGATGACTAGGTATTAGTTTATTTCATCCTTTCAACCATCCTGTGGAATATACATACTATTATTATTCCCCATTTAAAGATGAGGGCAGGGAGACAGATGTTCAACATTTGCTCAACTACACACAACTAGGATGTGGAGAAACCCGGCCTCAATAGCAGGCAGTCTGTCTCCAGTGTTCTTACACTGAACCTCTGTGCTATAGGCAGCGCCTACGTGTTGCTCAGAAAGGGGTGGGCAAGTTGTGTTTCCAGAATCTAAAAGAAGTAGCCGTCAAGCGTCCAGGAGTAAAGCAAGGGAAATTGAATGACACTCCAAATTTGTGATGCTGTAAATTCATGAGTAAATTCTGACTCTGCATATGGGACATGTTCTCCTCCTGGGAGGTGACAGAATAGGGACAGAGAAAATGAACTTTAGACAAGGGCTGCAGTGACTATGCTGGTGCTCTCCTTTGTGGTGAGTGCAGAAGAAAAAACATTTAAATTCCCCTGATCTAAAGGTAAATGTAGGGCTCCTTAATTGTGGGATGGTTGTATGTGTATAATTTTGCCAGGCTCAGAGATTAAGCTCTAATGGGCTTGGATGGAGAATTGGACAACAACACTTTCTAGTGTGCTTTTGGCAGATGAACTTCTTTCAGAAAATGTTTAGGATTTTGTTATTATAACTGACAAAATATTTATCAACAAGAAAAAGGTTCTCAAGTATATCCCATAAGTTGTTAAGGTTCAGAATATCTATGAAAAATAATTCATATTCAATCCATACGATAATTTGGAAATTAACAAACTTCTCTATATGGTAGAGATTCCACAGTGCATTCTGGATTGGAGGAGATAATGTGGACCCCCAAAAACAAATAACCACTGGTGAAGAAGAATTGAGAGTAATCCAGAGAAGTGGTCCCAAACTTTTTTGGCACCAGGGACCAGTTTCATAGAAGACAATTTTTCCATGGAAGGATGGGGGTGGGGTGGGGGGTGGGCACAGTTTCAGGATGAAACTGTTCCACCTCATATCACCAGGCATTACATTCTCATAAGGAGCACGCAGCCTAGATCCCTCACATGTGCAGTTCACAATAGGGTTTGTGCTCATCTAATGCCGCTGCTGATCTGACAGAAGGTGGAGCTCAGGCAGTAATGACCCCTTGCCCACCGCTCACTTCCTGCTATGTGGCCCAGTTCCTAACATGCCACGGACCAGTACCAGTCCATGGCCTGGGGCTTGAGGACCCCTGATCCAAGCTGGCTGTGACCTCTCAGCACAGTCACACCTGCAAGACTTGTGTGTCTGGGAGAGCCAAAGATGAGACATAGGTGAAAAATGCTATTACTATCCCAATAGCACTGAAAATTTTATTTTAAAGTGGCACTGCTCAATAATAGCCACAGGCCACATTTTTGCTACTTAAATTTAAATAAATAAAACTTGAATAAAATTTTAAAAGTTAGTTTCTCAGTGTCAGTAGCCACATTTCAACTGCTCGAGAGCTCCATGTGGCCAGTCCCCACCACATTGCCAGCACAGGTAAACATTCCCATTATTGCAGAATATCCTATTGCACAATATTACTTAAAGAATAATGACTTGTTCACTACATGAAAGAGAACAGGACTGGGGTTACTAGGGGAGGTCAGTACTGACTGAGCAACTGCATTCAATGAAACCAAAGAAAGAAAGCATCACAAACTAGAAGCAGAAGATTGCAGAGCAGCACCATTTATTCTATGTGGCCCAGTATCTGGTAATCAAGTGCGCAGTGGCTTCAAGGTATGTCCTGGGAAATTTCTGTGATAGGACCTGTTTACCCTCATAACAAGCAAAGCCTGGAAAGTCTCAGAGATAGACAGAAAGACAGCTAGATAGTTGTAGATAGGGAATTACCAATGCATGAAGCTCTCCGATGTGACAAATAATAGAAGTAGGCTATTACAATGATTAACTTATTCTGAGTTACACAAATTTACATATTACACATGGATTACACGTTTTCTTTTTTAAATAAAAATGTTTCCTTGTTTCTTTCTGATTATATAAATAATTCATGCTTTTTATAAATACTTCAAACAATATAGCAAAATGTAAGAGGAAAGTCAAAATCACTTGAAATTTTCAATTAGTAGACATAACCAGCAATAATCTTTTCGTAAGAGAGAAATAAATATATGCATATATACACATATATTGTTTTTTATTTTATCTTTAACGAGTTTGCTTTTTGTCTTGGCAGTTTTAATATAGCATTTTTTTATCATCTCCTTTATTTGTGGTGTCTCCTTGCTCTTTCCATTAACCCAACTTCTCTCTTTGTTCATACACTCAAGTGAAAATTTTTACGAAGGTATTTCCCTTCTCTGTGTATTAAATTGAGCTTATATTACATATACATTACTGCAATTTGATTTTCTCACTTAGAACTGTATTATAAAATCTTCTCAAGACAACTCATACACATTTAACTCATCCTTGCAAAGACTTCACATTTCTGTGGGATGAATGTTCCATAATTTTGTCAACAGCTTCCCTACTTACTAGTGCTTTAGCTCATTTCTAGATTTATCCTCATAAAATTGTATTGTAGCATTAGTGTTAGTGACCCCATCCTAGATTTTTACCATATCAATAAATAAATGCAAATAAACCTGTAGATTTCCTGGAATCTTCTTATTGTGTTACAGAAGTCTTTGTTTGTGATATAAACAGATATATATGATATAAATATCATATAAAATTACCATATTATATTCCAAAAAAAGCTCTACGAAATCATCTTTCACCAGTTATGCAAACATGTGTGCGTTCACCCTTTGTACTTATTGGTGCCAGTGCTGATTATTATTTTATTTTTGATAACCTGTACAGAGTTACCCTGTTATTATTTTAATACAATTAAAAAATGTCTACTAATGAGTCTCACAATATTTTTGTGTTTAGTGTGTATTTGGTTGTCTCTTCCACATGTGATCTGTCAAAGACCCTCTGCAAACTTTTCTGTAAGGCTTTCTTTCTCATATGAACATGTAGGAACTCTTTGCAGTAGGGTTGTGGTAGTGAACAACTCTTGTGAGCCTAACCCTGCTTCTATTCACATTAGTCTCTAGGGGTTACATAAAACACAATGTAATTTATATACACTGAAATCATGTCATGAAATAAGGTAGCACTAATGAATATGAGAGATATTATAAATATTGTACATATGTCAAGTATGTGCATTGTAAATACTTTCCCAATCTATAGTTTTCCTTTGACTATACTTATAATGTGTCTTGCCTATAATTTTATGTTTAATAGAACAAATATTTTGATAGTTTCATTATAGCCAATAATTTTCCTAACTTTTTTTTTTTTTTTTTTTTGAGACGGAACCTTGCTCTGGAACCAGGCTGGAGTGCAGTGACGTGATCTCAGCTCACTGCAAGCTCCAACTCCCGGGTTCACACCATTCTTCTGCCTCAGCCTCCCGAGTAGCTGGGACTACAGGCGCCTGCCACCATGCCCAGTTAATTTTTTGTATTTTTAGTAGAGATGGGGTTTCACCATGTTAGCCAGGATGGTCTCGATCTCCTGACCTTGTGATCTGCCCACCTGGGCCTCCCAAAGTGCTGGGATTACAGGCGTGAGCCACCGCGCCAGGCCTTCCTAACATGTTTTAAGAGATTCCCTAATCTCTAGTTTATTTGTTTGGTCTCCTAAAATTTCCCAACATTTCTGTGATTTTATTTTATATTGAAATGTTTAATTTATCTGCAATATGTTTTCATATGGTGTAGAGTAGGCTTTTATATAAATTTCTTTCAAACAAATAGTCACTTGTGCCAGCCACAAGTATTAAATTAGCCAATATTTTTCTGCCTAATTGCAATACCTTCTTTTTCACATATTGAAATTTATTGATTCTGAAATCTATTTCTGGACTCTGTTCTCTCCACTCACCTTTGGCTAAGTCTATGCTAACAGCATACTGACATGATTACTGGGGTTTGTATTTTTTTCATATGTGGTAAGGCATATCTCTGCTCAACAGTCATCTATTTGCATAAATTACATTGTTAATACTAGATATTTACTCTTCAACACAAACTCAACAGCCTACTGTGTCAATTTGAAACAGACTATTTAGAATATAATTAGAATTTAAAGAACAAAGCTGGAGGCATCACTCTACCTGACTTCAAACTATACTACAAGGCTACAGTAACCAAAACAGCATGGTACTGGTACCAAAACAGAGATATAGATCAATGGAACAGAACAGAGCCCTCAGAAATAACGCCACATATCTACAACTATCTGACCTTTGACAAACCTGAGAAAAACAAGCAATGGGGAAAGGATTCCCTATTTAATAAATGGTGCTGGGAAAACTGGCTAGCCATATGTAGAAAGCTGAAACTGGATCCCTTCCTTACACCTTATACAGAAATTAATTCAAGATGGATTAAAGACTTAAATGTTAGACCTAACACCATAAAAACCCTAGAAGAAAACCTAGACATTACCATTCAGGACATAGGCATGGGCAAGGACTTCATGTCTAAAACACCAAAAGCAATGGCAAGAAAAGCCAAAATTGACAAATGGGATCTAATTAAACTAAAGAGCTTCTGCACAGCAAAATAAACTACCATCAGAGTGAACAGGCAACCTACAAAATGGGAGAAAATTTTCACAACCTACTCATCTGACAAAGGGCTAATATCCAGAATCTACAATGAACTCAAACAAATTTACAAGAAAAAAACAAACAACCCCATCAAAAAGTGGGCAAAGGATATGAACAGACACTTCTCAAAAGAAGATATTTATACAGCCAAAAGACACATGAAAAAATGCTCATCATCACTGGCCATCAGAGAAATGCAAATCAAAACCACAATGAGATACCATCTCACTCCAGTTAGAATGGCAATCATTAAAAAGTCAGGAAACAACAGGTGCTGGAGAGGATGTGGAGAAATAGGAACACTTTTACACTGTTGGTGGGACTGTAAACTAGTTCAACCATTGTGGAAGTCAGTGTGGCGATTCCTCAGGGATCTAGAACTAGAAATACCATTTGACCCAGCCATCCCATTACTGGGTATATACCCAAAGGACTCTAAATCATGCTGCTATAAAGACACATGCACATGTATGTTTATTGCGGCACTATTCACAATAGCAAAGACTTGGAACCAACCCAAATGTCCAGTAATCATAGACTGGATTAAGAAAATGTGGCACATATACACCATGAAATACTATGCAGCCATAAAAAATGATGAGTTCATGTCCTTTGTAGGGACATGGATGAAATTGGAAATCATCATTCTCAGTAAACTATCGCAAGAACAAAAAACCAAACACCGCATATTCTCACTCATAGGTGGGAATTGAACAATGAGAACACATGGACACAGGAAGGGGAACATCACACTCTGGGGACTGTTGTGGGGTGGGGGGAGGGGGGGAGGGATAGCATTAGGAGATATACCTAATGCTAGATGACGAGTTAGTGGGTGCAGCGCATCAGCATGGCACATGTATACATAGGTAACTAACCTGCACATTGTGCACATGTACCCTAAAACTTAGAGTATAATAATAATTAAAAAATCATTACCATTAAAAAAAAGTGTATTAATTTTTCTTCGGTTTTTATTTATATTGAGATCTTGATATTTCTTAGGCTTTTTTCCCTTTTACATTTATTCAATTTTAATTCAGTTATACCTTATTTACACAATTTACTTATTTTATACATCTTAAGTTTAAGGTGAAAAAATGTAATATGATAAACAGAGCTTTCTTAATATTAAGAATCACAATACACTGAAAAAACTTTAAAAGAGTTACAAGAATAAGTTGAAGACTATATTTCAATACATAATTTATTAAAAGACTAACATACAAAATATATAAAACTAAAAGAAGAAAAAGTCATCCAAATTTACAAAAAAGAGTGGGCAAATTCAAATACAAAATAAGGACAGCAAAATACTTCCAGTACCCCTGAGTGTTCCCTGTGCTTGCTATAAATCAATACCCTGAAAGACATCACACTTTTACTTCTATCAACATAGATTAGTTCTACCTATTTTTGAACTTAACATAAGCGGAATCATCAGATTGTCCTCTTTTTGTCTCTGTATTCTTTCTTTCGGCATTGGGTTTCTGATGGCTGCATAGTCACTCATAACCACTAATGGGACTATTGAGAATGCTTAGTTCTCTTTGTTCTCCTGTAGTCCTCTTTGTCTCTTTTCTTTGAGTGCGTTGGAAATTTACTGTTTACTTTTGGTGTATCTGGGTGTGAATACATATGTGTGTGGGAGAGTGGGGGTATTTATCTTCTTTGAGTATTATGAATCTGTGATTTGACATCTTTCATTGCTTTCCAAAAATTTTCAGCTGTTTTCTTTTCAAATATTTCTTCTGTACCATTCTCTCTTTCTACTCCTTCTGGAACTATACTCATGGTATATTAGACCATTGATATTGTCCCCCAGCTCTTGGCTGTTCAGGTCATTTTTTTACCTTCTTTTACCATCTTTCTTTGTTAGTTTGAATGACTACTATTAACTATTTTTGACATCACTGATATTTTATTGAAGGAATTCTTAATTTCTGATATTATTATTTTTATTTCTTGCTTTTTCCATTTGACAATTGCTTATAGTTTCCATTTTCTGTTTATAATCTTCTTTTCAATATATGTGATTTTCCTTCCTTCCAAATATTCTACTTAGTTGTTTAATTAAAAAAAAAGTCTATGTTTGTGTTAGTGTGTGTGTGTGTACATTTCTACTGCTCCTGTGTTTCCTCAATTACTCCTATTTTTATTGAAGTTTTCACCTCATTCCTCTATGAGCTGTATATCAGTTTTGCATCTTGTGACTGAACTTCCTTTGTTGGCCTATCTATGGTAGGTTGAATAATGTCCCGCAAAGATATCCACATCCTAATCCCAGGGATCTGTGAATGTTGCCTTACATGCAAAAGAGACTTTGCATATATGATTAAGTTCAAGATCCTGTGTCATCTGAGTATGCCTGATGATTAGTAACGTTCCTTATATGAAGGATGCAGGAGGAGTTAGTCAGGGATGGTGATGTGACAATAGAAGCATAGGGAGAGAAGGTGGTGTGAGAACAGAAGCAGAGGTTGGAATGGAAGGGAGAGAGGGAGAGACAGAAAGAGAAAGAGAGACTAGTGGGTGCTCCATGTCTGGTTTTGAAAATGGAGGAGGATGTCATGAGTCAAAAAACGCAGGTGGCATCAAGAAGTTGGAAAGAGCAAGGAAACAGATTCTACCCTAGAGGCTCTGGAAGTGTAGCTCTGCTCTCCTCTTGGTTTTAGCCCTCTAAGAGCCATTTCAGACTTCTAAGTTTTAGAACCATAAAAGGATAACATTGGGTTGTTTTACCATATAGTTCGTGGTAATTTGTTCCAGAAGCCATAGGAAACTGATACACAGCCTTTTAAACATGCAGCAATTTTCTTTTTTTCTCTAGGCATGGGGGCTTAGGTGTGGATATGTATTTACACTGAGGGTCAACAGTCACAAAGGTAATAAAGAATGATGTGAAGTAGGTAAGACATCAATCCATGTTTGGGACAACTGATGAAAGGGGCTCTGCATGTGCCCTCTGTACATCCTCAGTCTCAACTGATATAGTAATCTGCCCATGGTTCCACTATTTTTTATTTTCTTGATAATAGGAGAAGCTCAACATGCTAACCTGGGGCCAATACTGATCTTCCCTGTGGGTTTTTGAAAGTCTCTACTGTATAAAACCCGCCAATAATCTGCAAATTACTAGGTGTTGACCTTGATCTTTGATTCAGTTCTTCACATGTTTGCCCAACTGTCAGGAGAAGCTGCCTTAAGCCAGTTTTCTTTTGGGATCCCCATAATATTCCAGACCTCATTTCAGAGGGTTATGCATTACTTGTAGCAGCTCAGAAGAAGCAAATTACTTGGAATTGGGATTAGAAGAGAAGCAATATTTGTTTTTGTAGTAAAGCAAATTTTAATGTTGATAAAATGATAAAATAATAATTAAATTAGGAAATAATACGATGTGTATAGAAAGTCAGATCAATTTAACCAACCAGAAATCCAGAAGCAGGCAAAATTCATAAGACAATTTAAGGGACACTTCAAACCAGTGGGAAAATTCTAGGGGGAAAAATAAGTTTGATCCTTAATGCCACCTTGTACCATAAAAACTAAATATTTGAATATAAAAGAAATGAATCTTACAAAAGGTGACAGGAATTTTGGGAAAATAATATAAAATGTTAGGGCAAAGAAAGGTTCTCTATGTGTAATACAATATTCGAAGGCCGGAAAAGAAAACAACGATAAGTTTGACTAGGTTTTTAATAACAAACATGCAGGGCAAAGAAGTCACCATAATCCAAGTCTAATATATAAAAAGCTTCCACATATTACTAGGAAGAAACTAACAGTATAACCAAAAAAATGAGCAATGGATATGAAATGACAGCTCACAATATAAGCACCACAAATGAACTTTAAATGATGAAAAATGAACAAGCTAACGCTAATAAAATACATTAATATTAAATTATAATAAATATCCTTTTTACCTGTTAGATTGTCAATGATTTTTTAAAAGTTGGTAATGCCTGTTTTGGCTACTGTATGTAGCACAGTCATTCTCAACATCTCTGATGGGTTTCCAAATGTGTGATGCCAATAGTTAGGAAGTTAAGATGTATTCATCTTTGTATTTACAGTGTTCAAAGCATTTCATAACACAATACAAGCATAATTTATGCTTAAATAATGAACAAATTCGACTAGAAATCATCTTGCTAAGAATGTTTACTATCCTTTATTTACTAAGGGAGAAACTATTGTACACTTATAGAAAATTAATGAACAATTGAAACAATAGCTATGCCAATTAACTCAATCAAAAATTTAATTAATTATACACAGCTATTCTGGAGAATTCTAGCTAATCCAGACACTACTGTAGCTACCCTTTTGTTTTGGAGAAATATCGCATCAAATTACTTCAATGCAAAATGTAATTTTTGTAATTATTCATTATTCTGACAAAGTGATTTTGTTTTCTTCAATGTAGACATTTTTTCTGCTAGCCATGCATCTTCAGAATTGCACAGATAGTCACACCCACCATCAGCAAGGCATACCAACTAACAAATAGATTATAAACAATGCAGTGTGGACAGCATACTACAAATTTATTGGAAACTGCAATTATTTATTTACTTGAAGAAAGTCTTCTCTTTTCATGATCACCATTGAAACTCCAGTAAATTATACCAGTAAATAATATCTGAAATTCTCAAGTATTTAAAAAGTCAATATACTGACATGTCTGTAGAACAGAATTTTAATCAATATTACAGTATATTAATACATATAATTAAGTGTTGTTAAAAGATACTTTTTCACGAGATGAGCATATAAAAATAATCAAGTAAAAACTTAAATTCTTGGACTAACAAGTGGATGAATTTAATAAAAAAAACTTTTGAAAATATTTTACTTTTCAAATTTTTTTCTTCACTGTGAACATTAGTTTCAATTAAAGTTTCGAATATATATTATAAAAACACAATAAGGGAAGATTATGAATTTCTACAATTTTAATAACCTTGTAAAAATATCTTTCCAATATAAAGTCCAACCTTCAATTATATATATATGTGTATATATATATACACACATATATATATCTCCATATTAATGGAAAAATCCTGGACATTCAGATGTAATTAAAATCAGTTGAAGGAATTATAGATTATTTTGTTTCTAATTCACTGAAAGTAAAAATAACAATAGTGATATGAAGGCACTTATTTATTGTATGGTAGATATGCTCTTACGAAAAACAGTGAGAGAATATATGGCATATTAAGATTTCTTTCTAAATATTATAATAGTGATAACAGAAAATGAATAAATGGTCTTCTGTCTTAATGAATCCATTTGATAGGCAAACACCGGCATTACATGCAAAGCACTTCTGTCATTGATATGCTTATCATTTTCTCCTGAATGACCTTGAAGCTTAATGAAATTCACATGAAAGTTTTACTATGCGTGTTTAAAGAAAGCAGTTAAAAAGATTCAGATAGCTTTAAAAAATTGAATTTCATTTTATCAAAAAAAAATCCTCTGTTCTCATTTATTGAAAAAGTAAACTGCTTCAATTCAAAAGCAGTTTACAAGCAACTTTCATGGTGCGTCTTTGTTGTCACATGGCAATGTCCCCTCGATTGACAAGTGGTGCAATGGTCTTTGAGGACTGATTACTCAGGATGTTAAGAGCATGAACTTCATGATTTTTAAATACTTTCTTGAATACATGCTTCAAAACAAAGTCAAACTTGAACCAACCATTTAAGAAAGAATGTCTCAGTGCTGACAATAGGAAACACTATAAAGAACATTAATCTAGCTTCCTGTTTACATTTGACAAAAGTAGAGGTACACAGTTGTAGAACTATGTGAAATGCCTGGGCTCTGTTCAGCAAGGTAGATCTACATAAAGTCACTAGTGATTAAGATGGAAGGAATCTTTAGAGTGCCATATGCTGACATTTGGAAAATTTAAATGACATGTGTTAAATCTATTAATATTGGAAACTTTCTATGAGCTTTTAGAACATTTACAGACTTCTTGATTTGTGATTTCCCTGTATAACATAAAAACATGATTTCTTTGGGTAAGTAAACGCTTTAGGCACAACAATATACAGAAGATAGGTTTTCACTGACTTTGCAGCTTACCTACCCCCACCCTCAGGCAACTCTCCTGGGGCATCATTTCCAGTTATAATTCTCATCAAGAGATGAGACCATTTTCTTTCTAACAAGAATAATCATATTTATTCAGAAAAGCAAGCTGCAAGTGTAGACCTGAATTTTGCCCTTTATCCTCTCCTGAAAATACAGAAAATGCAAACAAAGAGAATTGTGACCTTACATTAATCAGGTGCTATTTATTGCACAACACAGAACATCTCTAGAATCTTTTTATATGATTTATCTACTTGTGATACTAGAAGTGTTATCATCCACAGGACTTCTTATGTTTCATGATGCGTAGTGTAGAAAATGCACACAGCATTGCTGTGCTTAGCCATATTGGAGCCTGAGGCAAAGACAAAATCAGTAATACCGATCTATCTGTATTTAAAATTTGGATGTTTTGTTCATCACGGTTTTTGAATTAATTCTTGTTTTAAAAAATGTATTGCATTAAAAATAGATAAATTGCATGACATCAAAATAAAAACTTTTGTGCATCAAAGAACACTAATAATAAAGTGAAACAGCAACCATGAAATGGGAGAAAATACTTGAAACTCATATATCTGATAAAGGGTTATTATCCAGAATATATTTAAAAACTCCATCTCAAAAGCAAACAAACAAAAAAACCAAACAACCCAATTAAAATATGCGCCAAGAAACTGAACAGACATTTCTCCAAAGAGGATATTATCCAAATGGCCAATAAGGGCATGAAAGGATGCTCAACAGTACTATTATTAGAGAAATGAAATTAAAATCACAATGAGATGCCACTTCATACCCATTAGAATGGTTAAAATCAAACAGAAAATAACAAATGACACTGAGAATGTAGAGAAACTGGAACTCTTGTGCCCTGCTAGTGGCAAAGCAGGGCCACTAAGCGGTACAGCCTCTATAGAAAACAGTATGGTGCTTCCTCAAAAATTAAACAGAATTACCATATGATCTGGCAACTCCACTTTGAGTTTATACCTAAAAAAACTGAAAGCAGGGACTTGAACAAATATTTGTACACTCAAGTTCATAGCAGCATTATTCACAATAGCCAAAATGTGGCATCCATCCAAGTGTCCATCAGTGGGTAAATGGATAAACAAAATTTGGTATATACATCCAAGGAAACATTATTCAGCCTTAGGGGAAAAAAAGGAAATTCTAATATATGCTACAGTATGGATGAACCTTGAAGACATTTTACTATGTGAAAACAAGCTAGTCACAAAATGACAAATACCATATGATTATACTTATATGAGTTTCCTAGGGTAGTTAAATTCATAGATACAGTGGAATAGCGGGGGTTGGGGGCTAGAAGAAGGAATGAATGGGGGCAAATTGTTCAAACTATGCAGAGTTTCAGTTTGGGAAGATGAAAATATCTAGAGATGGATGGTGGTAATAGTTGTGCAACAACGTGAATTACTTAATGCCACTGAACTGTAGACTTTAAAATGGATAAAACAGTAACATGTATGTTATGAATGTTTTGCCACAATTTAGAAAATATTGCATGTAAATTTTACCCAACTCAATTATTGGTGCTACCTCTCCTTCAACTCACTTGAATTTGCTGCCTGAGAGTGCTTTACTAACTTCACCTTTGCCCTGGTCCTGGAAAGTTTCCGTGTTTGTTTGGCTCATAGATGCTATGATCTGAACGTTTATGTCCCCCCACCCCCAAATTCATAAGTTGAAACCTAATCCCCAACGCAGTCTTGAGATGATGAGGTCATGAGGGCAGAGTCCTCCTAAAAGGGATTGGTGCCATTATAAAAGGGGCCTGAGGGAGCTTGTTTCCTCCCTCTACCCTGTCAGGACGCAGTAAAAAGGCGCTGTCTAGGAGGAACAGGCCCTCCCTGGACACTGAATCTGCTGCTGTATTGATCTTGGACTTCTTAGCCTCTAGAATGGTAACAAATAATTTTCTTACCCAATCTAGAGCGTCTTGTTATTATAGCAGTCTGAGTCGACTGAGACAATAGAATACAGCATAAAATAACATGTTATTTTCTTTCCCCTTCTTCCCACCTTCAAACTCCTGGTGTTTGTACTTTTATAAGATAGATTAAAATGTACTTCAATTACAAGTTGAGAACCCTATGTTGGGCTCTGGGTAACAGGGATGCACTTGTGAGACTTCAATTCTTTATCGAGTTTGATTTCTCTATTCATCTCTCCTTCACAGCTTTCAAAATCTTAGTCTTAAAATTATTTTAGTAGAAACAAATATTAAAAGTAATTTTTTGAAAGGTTATCTCAAAAGCTCTGAGAAACTTCACCTTTTACAAAGACATTGGTTAGCTCTTGGCATGATTAATGTTAGCATGTTTGATCCCTCTATCAACGAAGGAGAACATTTTGAAATTGGCTTTATTTTTTGCTAAATAAAATATCACCACATATAAAGGAGAAATAATGTTTAAACAATATTTTAATAAATATATTATTTAAAATGCATGTGAGGAACTCCATATCAAAAAGAGAACATAAAAATTAACTAACGTTTCAAGGTATATAGATCCTTCATTTTATGTTTGAATATTCATGAATTTATCAGTGTGTAAACTGCATTTGAGAGTACAGGACTTTTGTAGTATCCTCAGTGAAAATGATACCACTAACTCCCTGAATTGTAAAATCAAGGCTATCTCAAATGATTTAAACTTAAGGTTTTCACTCATGTTTAATGCCAAAATATTCCCAACTACAATATTCACACTAATTCAATTTTTAAACGCAGCTATCAAAAAACAACTTGCAATTTAGAGAGCACAAAGTCTCTCTTCTTGACAGTATCTTCATAGACCATAGATCTTCAAAAAACACCAAGGGTTTTCATAATAATGGTGAAGAAAGAATCAACTTGGATAAAATTAAGTAGTTTGTCTTTTTTTTTACGCTACCATATCCCAATTGTCTAGCATTCCACTATCCAGAATACAGCCTGCCTGAAATGTATTGATTTTTCCTTCCTATATTCATTTAACAAGTATGTACTTTTGACAACTACTGTGTGTCAGGCACTGCCCTGAATGCTGAAGATACAATCAAAAATCCCCTCATGGAAATATTCCAATGCTGGAGAAAATATACTCATTAAATACAATATCTCAGACCTATGGAATTACAAGTAGTCTGGTATAATCTATTGGAAAACTGTGTCATGAAAACAAATATAGGGTCCCAGAACCAATAATGGAAGTGTTTGTTATTTTAGTATATGCCTTTACCTGGAGCTTGGAGATGAATAAGAGTTACCTTAGCTGAATAGTGGAGGAAATTGGTGCGGTCTAAGCACAGGAAACAGAATTTGCAAGGATCCCGCATTGGAAGGAAGAAAATAAGAAATAATCGAATGAGGCCCTTTCGTGGGATAGGAAGGAAGAGATTGGTGACAGTGAAGCTAGAGTGTCCAGACACAAAGGATGACTGTATTCAAGAGCTCATATCCACAGGCTGAAGGACAGTCACACTTGGCACACAGATTCTATTTGTCCTCACACAGATAAAGGAAATGGTGCTGTCCCTCTGGCAAATTAACTTTTTCATTGCCCAGAATTTCTATAACCTTAAATTCCCTAACAGCTAATCTACTGCCCTTCTTTCTCCCTGACTTCAGATATAATTGAAGAGCTTGTCTAAAGTCTTCCTGTCTTTGTTCCAATGTCCTGAATGTACATACTGGATATGTCAGATGTAGGAAAAAAAAAAAGCTGAGATGGGGATGGTGGTGGAGGGTATATGGGGAAGAGGAACCTTTATCTTCAACTCTAACAAGCAAAGTGAACATAGGAGAGTTAGAAAATCTATGTTTTATAAAGTGCAAATATGTATAAAAAATGAGTATATTATGTTAGTGATTTTTTTTTTAGATTCACCATAATGATAAATGCTGAAGAATTTGGAGAAGCAAGAGATGAAACACATTACAGATCAAGAACATCTTTTTTTTGTTTTGTTTTTTGTTTGTTTTTGAGACGGAGTCTCACTCTGTCCCCCAGGCTGGAGTGCAGTGGCGTGATCAGGGTTCACTGCAACCCGAGTAACTGGGACTACAGGCGCCGGCCATCAGGACCAGATAATTTTTTTGTATTTTTAGTAGAGACGGGGTTTCACCCTGTTAGCCAGAATGGTCTCAATCTCCTGATCTTGTGATTTGCCCTCCTCAGCCTCCCAAAGTGCTGGGATTACAGGCTTGAGCCACCATGCCCGGCCAAGAACACCTTTTTAAATGATTTTTTTTTTTTTGGTAGTCATTTTCTAACATGCAAATGGTTTAGTATTAACCCTAGGTATTCAAAATTGCAATGCTTACATATTTTTTACCAGCAGGGACAAATAATACAGATTTTTTATTTTTATTTTTGAGCTTCAGTTTCCATATGTGTAACCTAGATGTACACACTGCAGTGCCTTTGGTTAGATGTTGATAATATGTCTGCATACACATACATATGTACACACAAACACAAATAAATAGATCACTGGTTGCAAATTACAAGTAGGGACTCTGGACAAGATGGAGTTATGTGACTTGCCAACGTGCATTCATAAATTTTAAAACATTGAACTAAAATTATGGTACCATATACATTCATGACTCAGTGTGCCTTTTATGAAAAAGTGGGAAAAGTGAAGTTCTTGACTGTGGAAGTGAGAATTATTGGTTTGGTTTCACTCTCCTGTATGATGTAGCTCTATCAGTGGTAACGCAAGCAACTTAACTGTTTAGGCAAATTTTCACAAATTCAGGATATTAAGCAGGGTTTAAGAGGGATTTTCTGATGACTGCTGATGTTCTCGGCCAGAATCAAGGGATTCTCATACTTTTCTTTCTCTCCATGTTTCTTATATTCTTATTATGCCCCTCCTCTACCACCATTGCAGCTTCCTTCCCTTACGGTCACAACTTCCATCCCTCTGTCCCCTTCAGAACCTTTCTATGTCCTTTTATTTTCCATCCCTTTAGTAAGAAATTAAATAATATTTTTAAATAAATTTATTCAATGCAGTTACACATTTTTATATTCTACATAAAGATAGTATATTTTTGTTATTTCTGACAATAACCTTTGAAAACATTAAGTTATCCCTTACTACCTATGTTTAATCTCATTTTCCTTCTGATTCAGTGACCTTAACAAAGAAATAGGCTATCCACCCTGTTTATGTATTCGTAATTTTAATTCACCCTACACATATTTTTAAATTTCTATGAATCAGGCCTTAGGCTGTGGGTACAAACATAAACACAATCATTGAAACAGATGATGTTTCCAGAAAATAGACATTATACAATATTCAGTTCTTTACTATGATGATGAAATCAATTCCTGGTTTCATCTTTTCTCCATCTAATAACTGTGACAATGATGTTTGCTGCATCTAGAGTCAATATCATTCCCAGCATCAAATGTGTGTTTCTCTAGTAAGTGAATACAGCCATCATAATGTGGATTGCAAAACTCAGTGAACACTGCTACCACTGGACACTGGAGAAGAGAAGCATATTGGGTGCAAGTGTGTGGGGAAATGGGGAGGAGGGACAAGGAGAACAGCTGCATTACCTCAGAGAAAATTAGAAAAAGTATGCTGTTTTAAGAGTTGTTCAAACTATGGTGGTGGGTTGGGGAATACGTGTGTGTATGTGTGTATATATATATATATGTACGTATATATGTGTTAGATACATATGTATATATGTGTGTGTGCGTGCATGTTAGATTCATATATGTGTGTGTGTGCGTGTATATGTGTGTGTGTATACAGAAAACGCTGTATGTAAAACACAGTCGAAGCTATCAATATCAGACAGGTATTTCCCTATATTAGAGGCTGCCTACCTCTGGAGCAGGGGACTATAATTCTGGAGAAATACATGTGTTTCCAAAGCTTTGGCTTTAAAAGTGCACGTGGTTCTTTCAGATTTTGAGTGAAACTCTTACTATCTCACTGGCATAGATGTCATCACAGACGGGCACATCTTCATGTCCGCCACTCAGCTGACCAGTAAGGCACTTTACTGCCTTTTAGGTATTATCTCTAGATTCCTCCATTCAATAAAGGTCTTAAATTGAATTATGGGTGGCCGTTTTTCTCAGTAATAAGCCGGTGTTTCATGAGTACGGGAGTAGTTAAAGGTCCAGAAATGGGCATTTGCTGTTTTCCTTCTTTGAAAATGGCAAGTGCACATTATTATGCTGGGGCAAGAGAACTAGAACATGCTGAAAAGATAAACATTTTTTTTTCCACCTAAAAGATAAACATTTTTTTTCCACCTTCTCCCATTTTCTGACCTCACCTGTTCCCCGTCTGACCTCTGGGGGGCTTACTCGGGATGTCAAGGAAAATGTAAAGTATGTAAAACCGGCTCCTTAAGTAGTATTTGTACCCTTAACGGTGAATTTCTGAGAAAAGATCCAGAAGACTAAGAAATGCATAGCTAATGAATACATTTCAGGGAAATTGGAAGGTTTGGATAGAAAGGAAAGCACAGTTTACATACATATGCATACTGTGACGGATCAGGGCAAGGACTCCAGTGTCACCATCTTCCTGTATCTGTAGACCTTGTACAATGCAGTCCAAGGCTGTGAGGACTTCGGAGGGCAAACGCTGAGGAAACCAACCTGCCTCCAATTCCAAGGCGTGAGATTTACATTGCAGCCTTTGTGATGCTGCTTAGTTAACTGGCTGTATTTATGCAGATCTATTGTAGACTTACTTCCTTTTAATTTTTCCCCCTTTTGTGACTGAAATCATGAATTCCTAAAAATAAATAAATAGCAAATCAAAGGAGAAAAAAAAAAGCCAAAACAGGTTTACCTAACGGGAAGCCTGGAAGGGCTGGCGTTGGAGAAGCCGCTCGGAAGCGGGGCAGGTAGCAGAGAGCCGCCCGCCGGTCTCCGGGTCTACGCCCAGGGCTCTTTCCAGCCCGGCCTTTGGGTAACTGGTGTGGGGGAGGGCGGCCGGCTTTCAGGTCGCCTCTCCCGCAGGTTTGGGAGCCCGGTAGGCCGTGACTGAAAGACCGTAGCAACAGCGGTCAATTGCCGTTTTAGAGCTCATTTTGGGGCGAATGGTAGCAGCAGAGCCACTGCCGCCCTGGCTCTTGTAGGTGGGTCTGGAGTGTCACGTAGGCACCCCAACTCGCGCCGGGGGCCGTGGTCCGCAGACTCCCACTTCATTGCCCCGGAGGCCTGAGCCCGCCCCGCCCGGCTGTGGCTGCACCTTTCCCGAGAGTCGGGGCAGCGGCGGCTCGAAAGTGGAGGCAGCCTAACCGCGTAGCGCTGAAACCACCATTCACAAATGCAAACCCCTGTCTTCTGTGGATAAACGGTGGCGGCGCGCGTCCGAGCGTCCCCGAGGGGCTGTGGGGAGCCCCCGGGGAGAGCAGGAAAGGAAGCGGGGTGGCGGTGGCTAGGAAGCGACTGAGCCTTCTCGCCCGGCCGGCGGAAGAGGGAGCCGGGTCCCGGCGCGCCGAGCCAGCCGCCCCTCGCGCAGTTCCTCGGCCGCGGCGCGGGGTTCGCCCCGCTTCTCCCCGGCAGCAGCCGGCTGGGTGCCCCCGGCACAGCACAGTGCGGCAGGCGGCAGCGTCCTCCCCTCGCCTCCCCCACATTCCCTCACCTCAGCCAAGGCGGCAGCCCCGGCGTCCCCGCCCGCCCGGCCCCGCGCCCCCGCCCGGAGCGCCCCCACCCGTTGCGCCCCCGCCGGGTCCCGCCGCGCAGCCCCGCCACGCTGCAGCTGGAGCGACCGCCGCGGCCGGCCCCGCAGACCGGGGAGGAGGAGGAGGAGGGGAAGCCGGAGAGGGAGGCGCGGGGAGGAGGGATGGAGCCGGGAGGAGGAAATAAATAAATAAAACAATCACCTCCGCGCCAATAAGAGCGAGGGAGAGAGCAAGACGCGACCAGAGAGCCACCGGGGCCCGCTCGCGCGCCTCTGAGAGGCTGTCCGCGCGCGCGCGTGTGTGCGTGAGTGTGGATTTGCCGGGACTGGAGCTGGAAAGTTCAAACTAAACGTGTTGCTCTCGCCGAGTGCCGAGGCCGCGGCGGAGGCTGCCCAACTTCCCCGGGCCAAGTGAGTGGCGTTGCCCAGCGCCTTTGGCGAGGCGGCGGCCGCTCGGCCCTGCGCCCGGCCGCGGCGGCGGCGGCTCCGCTCGCCCCGGGAGGGAGCCCGCGGCCAGGGCTGGACTCTCGCCCCGCCACCTCCACCGACTCTCTCCTCAGCCTCCGCGCCTGGCACCGCAGCAAGGTACGTGGCGCTTCCTGGCGCGGCTTCTTCCCTAGCACACCCCGCGCGGATTTTTGGCTGCCTAGATTCTTCCCCTTCCCGGAGTGGTCATCATTTGTCAAACTTTACCTCCACCTCGCACATGCGGGCGGCCGCTGCAGCCGCCCTCCCTGGCGGCATGGGCTCCGCTCGCTGATGGGAACCGAGAGGAGGGTGGGGGGGAGGATCTGCTGGCAGCGGTGGTTCTCATCTGGATTAAGATCGTATTTCGGAATAACTCGCAGGTCTTACCTTCCGGGGGTGTCCTTCATTATGATGTTCCCTGTGATGCTGGTAATGGTTTTCCTTGCTCCTTCTGCACGGAAGGACGTACAAGTTTGCAGGAGAAGGTACATGAAAAGCAGGTGAAGTTTGCAGCCACTTGACTCCAAGAGAGGAGTAACCCTTTCTTTGCAGTAGCCGCTATGGTTTTGAAGCAGCGGCGGCGGCGGCAGCGGTGACAGCGGTGACAGCAGCCTGGCCGGTGGCGGCAGCTGCACGTTGTCCCGTCTGTGACTGGAAGAAGGAGGAAAAGTGGGGCTGCCTCGTCGGAGAGCGCAACTCTGGAGCTGCCTGCAAAGACGCTGCGGGGGAAAATGCTAAGGGCTCCCTGATCCTTGGTAAATCGTGTTTGGAGAGGCATGATTTCCTTTTGTGGTATTTATGTGCTTAATAACAGACATGCTTAAAAATCTCTTTAAAACTTTTATGCATACGATTTCCATTTCTAGATTAGGTGAAGGACTCTGAAACCTCTCAGATAAATGCCAAAATCAGTAAGATCAGAGCGGTGTGCAAACCTGCAATGAATTGCCCAGTGCCTTCTTGTTTGTAACGTATCACCTACTGGGAAACGTATCTTCCGTGCCATACTATTTTAGTAATAGTTATAGGTTCATTATTATTATTTTTTTCTTACGATGAAATAGGAGGTTTTTAGTGAAACAAAAATTTAGAAGTCATAGTAAGTTTCCAAGCAACGTGCTTGAGCCTTTTGAAGCCACCTGCTGAATTAGTTCATGTTACTTTTCAGAGGTTACCACTTTGGTGCAGGAGATGTAGACATATCCAGCAGATGGAGCAGTGGAAAACTATACTGGAACCTGCATAACACTCATTTATCCCGATGTAATCACAAAGAGGCCAAATAAATGTGTATGGAGCTCACTTTAGGGGAGACACTGGTTTTACTGTCATATTTGGAAAAAATTTTGTGTCTACTGAAATATGATTGGAATATATCTGCAGAAACTTCAATTCTTTAGGCTTCTTTTTCATTCATAAAGCATTTGAAAATAGTTTTTGTGCATATTAGAGTACAGGATGATTCATTCATGTCAGAAATGTCAACTGGTCCTTTGGTTATATATTGCAGTGACTCACAACGACATGAAAAACAATGCATTCTGCCATAATAAAAGTCTAATTATTGTGTTATAGTTTAAAAGAGTATAAAAACTTGCATTTGAACGTAAGCAAACATCATTTTGAATACTTTTTAGTATTCTAAATGCAACTGAATTTGTGTTTTGCAAAGTTAAGATAGCTAAATACACTTATTTCTTCAAATAATTTACTGCAGCTTAAATTGAAGGAAAAAGTTAATAAAACTTTTTAGTCATTCTTGTGAATTGATGTTCCTTTTTCCTCAAAATTTCATGAAATTTAGATCTGGTGTGATCTGGTCACATTCATTTTACCTTCAGAGACAAAGACAAAATTCTTCAAAAGCCACTTTAAAAAATCCTTACATTGATATATTATGGTAACAATAACATGAGGAGAGAATCTGCCTTCCTACAAAAATTTTAAAACTTTGCAATCAGTCATGCATCTGAAAAAATAGCTTTAAAGTGAACAGAGACAAATGGGCTGCCCATTTCACAGGCAGAACGGCAAAGACTTAGGCACCTGCTTTGTTGCACCGTTTCAGGAAAGAACTGGTTCTTCAATCTAGTCTGCTCATCTCCCATCTCTTGCTCCTTTCATTGTGTTTTGTCATAGATTTTACCGTGGCAGAGAACTGAGCTTAACTACTCTGAAAAAAATCCTATTAGGTCTTACTTTAATGTCATCATTTAGCAATTTAAAAGTTACAGCCATACAGCAAACATATTAAGGAATTTAGAGACAGACACGATGCCATTGAAAAATGTAGCACTAGCAATCATTTGAATTAAACATGCTTTACACTGAGGGCACATGTTTATAAAATATATGTGACTGTTTTCTAAATCTTCAGATAACGTCTGTAGCAAAGTACTTACTTTTGCATTCTGAAACTATGTTTCTTTCACATTCGCATAATATCCAAGAAGGCTTAGAACTCCCAGTGTTATAAAATAGTATAACTACCTTTCTGAAGGAACTAATTTTATCCCGCCTGTTGCCACACAGATTAAATGATTATAGATTTTTCTAAATTTATTCCATTCTAAATTTATGCCCCTTTACACAGGCAAGAACAAAAGGGTTTCAGTGTAAGATGCTGAAAGTTTTATGCCATATTTAAATGTTTGAAAATATGAATACCAGACATTTACTAATTTATCATCTCTATTAAATGTGTTAAATTCCTCCAATATAACTCTTATTGATAGTTTAAAAATCAGCTGGTCAAAGCAATGTTAATGTAGTAAAATTAGGTTAAACGTAGGTATATTATGGTCATTGCTCATGTGATATATGTCTTCAGAGAAAACCGGGTGCCTTGTAAGTTTTTCTGTAAACTCAATATAAATGAAATGCTGATAAGATTGACATAATTTTGATATAACTTTGACATATGTATTTCTACATATTTTGAGACTTTAAAAATATAATCACTAAATACTCTTCGTATAGTACTGAGCGTTTTCAGTTAAGTTTATTGGACTGATAGAATCCTGTAATATGCTACTGAAGTTGAGTTCAAGTTTATGGAGGGAAATATTGGATACATACATACATACATACATACATACATACATACATACATATATACATACACACATGGGTCATCAGTTTTCACTGGGAATCTTGGTAATGGGAGTGGCAATGTGCCTATTGAAGAATTTTGGAAAATAGTCTAATCATCAACTTTAAATTCTCATTTTAAAAACTTGATCAAAAATAGATATCTGTTAAGTAGAGGACCTGTGTTTAACCTAAGCCTCGTGGTAATAGTTGAAGCTTGGCATTCACCAAGTGTTTGCACTTGTTATTACAGTAATTTTAATGCACTTTCTGCATTATTTGTATTTTCATTCCATCTCCTTAGGACATTGTTCTAATAGAGCTATAATATAGCTCTATTAGGTAGTTTTCTTCCAGCACCATAAAATGTAGCCACTGGGTTTAGACTTAAATATAAAACCGCAATTACATTTGCACCAACCTAATATTTCAACTGAATTAAGTTTTTGAAACTCATATAGAGGGATTGAGAGATTATGAAGAAGCAGAGATTTTGGTTTTTTCTCCATTAAGTTATCTTCTGGGAGTTAACATGGGTTTATCAGTCAGTGAAGATCAAGCAAAAGATGAAACCTTTTATCCTTTAGTTTCTGTCTTGTCACCTGCCTGTTTGGTTTCTCTTAGTGTCAAGTATGACTGAACATGACTTTCACTTATAATTTATAGAAAAGGCATATATATTTGAAACTTGGGTGTTTTATTGGGAGGCACTATTAGTTTTTAATAAGAAGAAAAAGTTTCTAGCGCTATATATAAGGAAAAAATCATAATATAAAAAATTATTCTAGATGAGTACAGCAGTGAAAAATGTATCTTCCGATATAAATTTTAGCAGAAATGATGAGGATGTAAGATTTATCCCAAATAATATTTCCAACTTTGAGTATTACTGTAATTTAATTTTTATATGTTAATGCCGTATTGGGTACAAACACCTTTACCTTTAACTCTCTTTAATTACCACTTCTTTGTATAAAAGTCAACGAAGAATATAGCTTAATTATATATGTATAATATGATTGTTTTATGGCATATGTTATATGATATATATCTCATAAAACATATTTTTAACATGAGTACAGTTTTGCTCATACAATATTCAGGGATAGATTTTATTTCACTGATTATCCCAAATTTTTTTTGAAGCCCCAGAGTCCTCAGGTAATTTTCTATATGTTACTGTATAGGACAGTTCTGCCATATAGCTTTAGAGATATTTAGTCATAGAAATATAATTGGGTAAGCTGCCCTACTATTCACGTAATTACCATGAAACTTGTGATAACCTCTAAATACAATATGTTATATAAACTGTTTATATTGTTACCAAGGGATTAAAACCATGGGACAAGATGAACATAGTCATTCTTTATAGTGGTCAAAAACTATCTTTCATGTTTTAAAGGACTTATATTTAGAACTTATTATGGAAAAAGGTGGATGGATCAAAAGTGGGTATCAAGTGCGTGAAAAATTATTTACCAGAAGCACACTTACTAAGTATTATAATAAGCATACCTTTCTAATTATTATTTTCCAAAGGTAGGAGATTGGAGAGGCATAATTAAAGGTACCTGATATTATTAGAATAAGACAGTTGTCTAACTAGCATTTTCATTCTGATAGGAATATGTTTCATGATTTTGATTATTTCACAGCACCCTTAACAAATAGAATTATACTGTGTTTTCCAATATGAATATCTCAAAGGTTTTGAAATGTATGATTGATTATGATCATCAGAACTCTGTGACTAAACTGAAGGCAGCTAACACATAGAATACTGCTGGCAAATTGAGAGGCTGAATACTGGTGTTGCAAAAAGTTTAAGTTGATGTTACTTCCTATATACCCCCAAATCAGTATTATTACTACTTTGCTAGTACTTTTATTATGAATATAAATTATATTAGATTCTTATTCAACCTTCCATGCTTAAATTACAGTATGTTCAAGAACTTGCTTTAGTAATAAATATTGATAATTATTGTACGACAGAGATCTTTACTGGTAACATTAGATTTAGAACATTATTATGCGAAACAGACAATAAAACAATCTCTGCTCTGGGTCTATAGAATTTACTAAATTAGTGCCATGGGCATGTGAGAACAGAAAGTGTCCATATGTCAGCTTCAACTATATGACAGAGGGAGAAAAGTGAGGAGACACCTTTCCATGAATGTCTTCCCTCCAGTTTATACCACCAGTTTTCTAAATAAACTTTATTTTAACATTTTTTAAACCTGGTCACTTTTAATGAGAACTAATCACAGTCACAAATATCAGTGTATTAATGGATTACATCAATACTTAATATTTTTTCATCTTATAGCTCAATCCATCATTCATTAAGCGGAAAGATTTATTCACATTACCTTTTTAAAAATAATTCAGCAATTATATAGTAGACTGATTTTTAATAGTTGTCTATTAAAAATAAAATAAAGCATAAAATAAAAATAATAAAAACTAAGAATAAGTTGTTGATGTAGTTTTTAGGATTTAATTTTGTTATTTAGAAGAAGATAAATATTTATAGGTTTAAGTTTTGGTTGTATATAAAATTAACAGCAGCAAGAATAAATAATCCCATATTTCAGCCAAAATGGCAACTAGAAATGATAAATTGGCTTTCTTGTGTATATGTGTGTGTGTGTGTCTTTTAATTTTCTATGTCAATTAATATGTACTATCAGTAGAATAGAATATTCTGAGAAGATAATGGTATCTTGTTGAACATAGATTTAAAGGTTAAGCAGTTATTATTGAAAAATAAACATACCAATTTACTTTCCATCTCTAAGCCTTTTTCTTAAAGTATATTTACCTAAATTTAAACAGCATCTATAATATTGATAAAAATTTTTAAAACATAAATGTCAAATTAAGTGCTCAATAAATATTAGGATCTGTCTATCTTTGATCTCTTCTTATTATCAAATAAAAATCAGTACACTGATATCTTTCTTTTAATAACAAATAGATGCAAGATAGTCTAAGGTTAACAACCAGAAAATATTTGTTTTGTGATGGGATGTTCATAATTTCTTTTTCTCATTGCCTTACAGATTTATTTATTTTAATTTCATGTAGGATATAACAATTCCTTCTGCAAAATAAATGTTTTTTTTGATAAAATTAAATACACTAAAGTGCCTTCAATTCTTAAGTATGTTGCCTAAAGATTTGAGTTTCAAAAGTATTAAATTTATATTTTGCATGTGTCATTATTTATATTGTAGGATTTTTCCCAAATACAGGTCCTCTTGTGTTATCATTGTGAAGTTTTTTATTCATACTTTTCACATTAATACTTTTCCATACAACTTAATTATTTTGCTTTTTATATTCAGAGCAGAGTTGACAATATTGCAGTTATTGCCAACTTTATTTTATTTTGATTTAAAATATGTTAAACTCATATAAAGTATTAACACTCATAATATGTATTTTTCTAAAATTATTTGTGTGAGTCAAATTTGTTAGTGATTTCTTCAAAATTTTATTTGTAACTATGGGATCAAAACCAAAAAGGTTAATTTTCATGTAATTAAAGGTCAGTGATTTTTTTATTGCTTGCTTACAATTTGTTTACTTCTTTAAGAAATCTAATAACATTTTCAACAAAACGGTGTTTCTTATTACTTGTGAACCTTATGCTTTTTAAAATTTTGCTTTTAAAACAGTTCACAGTGATTAATTTGAACAAAGAAAGCAAAAATTTAATGGTTATTGTACACATATTAAATTAAATTTCAAGAAATGAAAACTTTGTGATAATACAAATTATAAAACAGATAGAAATCTCAGTATTTGTTTTCAGAAATTTTGAGGGAAAACTAACCTTGAAATAGTAAAGTATAAGAAATAATGTTAACAATAGTCTTAAATGTTCAGGTCCCTGTTACTGATTTTGGCAAGGTTTATGTCCAAATTGTTATGCTAGTAATATTTACATAGAATGATTTATAAATTTATTTTTTAAGAAAGTCTTATTTCAGCCACCATTGTTTTATACAATGTTGGTAGTTCCAGTTTAGTCTATTTTAAAAAGTAAACCTTATAGCACTTAAAAATTTTGTTGTTGATATATTTAAATAAAAGAGTGCATGTACCAACAGTACAAATGAAACAAATTATCATAATGATACTGCTTTTGAGATAACCAAAACAGAGAGAAATTTGAAGTTACAAGTACCTTTGAAACAGAATTCACACTCGAATCTGCTTTAGCATGAATTGCACATGAATAAAATTATCTGCTTAATGTTCTCTTTAATTTTTAACTATCAGATAATGTGATTTGGGAAAAATCTCGATTAAAAATATTATTGTATGGTAAGATTCTTTGCATTTTCCCGTTTCTGGAGCTTGGTCATTTTATTTTAGTGAGTTATTATTTGGAATCAGTGTGTGATTAGAATAAAATTGAAAAGGATTTGCAACACTTCCTATTTGCATGGATCAGCTTTTCATAACCCCAAAGAAATTATAGAAAATTAATTTTTAAATTGTTTGAGAAGACCAACAACCATAACAATAAGGGACAGTGGTTTCGCTCATTATGTAATATCATTTATAGAATTACAACTGATGTATCAATTCAAAAATTATTTCTGATGTTCTAAATAAGTATATATTGGCAGATTTTTTTTGTAAAATGTTTTCCATTTTGTAAGGCAGAAGAGTTTAAAATGTGAATAATATGCAAAACGTTTTAGTAAATAATGTTTTTATATACAATTAAGAAAAAAATACGCCTCTAGGCAAAAGAATAAGCAAGTCACCTCAGAAATCTCTTCAAATTTCAAAAACCGGTCAAGAAATAATGGATCAGAAGACCCCTCTTACGTAATATGAGACCAAATCTATAGATTTGTGAGAAAAAGAATCTCTATCAAAAAGGATAGAATATATTCCCAAGGCAGCAGCTCCAATCATACTGACAGTCTTAACAATGTCTATGAGATAAATGTTTCTAATTGTGTGTGGAAAACATGCAAACTTAACCAGAATCTGAAGGGCAGTGTTTGGTAATACTCACATGGGTACCCTCCGGGAAAGAAAGTAGTTGCTAGCTTTCTGAATACTTGATGCTGCAGACCTGCATGGTCTGATGGCATTAGGAGTATATCATATAAGTAGAATAATGTATTCTAATTCATGCTCACCAAGCCACCTTCAGACAATCTGTTTACTCTTGCCCATTTTCTTTAGTGAAGTAAGGTGTTCAGGGTGCTTCTGCAGGCAGCAGGCAAGAGCTCCAGGCTCCTATTTGATTTTGATTACAAATTAATAAATTGGCATAATAGGTTATACATTTCATTTCCTTGTGAATGTTAGTGGGAGTCATCATCCTCAAATCTAATTAGATCTGCAACATTGACACATACTGTAAACCAAACCTGTAAGACCAAGGTCACCAAAATAGTGCCAAACCTGAGACCTGTTCATCAGCGACCTCTGAGAGAAGTCTTCATGTCACTAATAAGAACGTTTATTTTGAAGACGACAAAGACAAAACATGGAGTACAGGAATACTTACTCTTTTGGTTTAATACTCTTTTTATTAAAATAGCATGAAAATTAAAAAGAAAATTAGTTGAGGGAACAAAAAAGGAATAAAAATTTGGGATAAGTAACATGGTGAGAAGAAAGATGTTTCAAAAATATTTGTATTGTAATATTTATTAGGGCTTTTAATTATTTGCCCCCACAGAACCAATATTCAATATTAAAACTATAGTCTTTATAATAGTTATTAAATGAAATTTTAAAGATCAATTTAGAAGAGAAGTCACATTTTAACATTCATTATACATTCACTCTGTGTATCGTTTTACAGTTTGCTTTTCTGCTCTTCATGATTTTAAAATTTTTTCTTTGTTCGTACACTTAGAACTAGTTCATTCATTATAACCATTGTTCAGTATTCCATCATATGATTATGATGAAATCACAATTTCAGCATTTCTTTTCTGACTTCTGAAATAGTTCTTAAGTGTAATAATGCATTAAAATACAAACTACAAATGCAAAATACAATACAAAACACAATTCTATAAGATAAATGTGAGTGATATTGTGGTATATTATATACATATTTTATGTATGTCAATTATGCTATATTTATCATAACATTTTGCATAACATTTTTTAAAAATTAAAATTCTGAAGCCATTAAATCTTTCACTACAACATCATTTTCATAGTCACGTGTTATTTCATTCTATGGATCTAGCAGAAGTTAACAGTTTGTTATGGTTGGATATTTCAGTTGTTTAAGTTGTTCATATTAGAAAGAAAGCTAAATGAACAATTTTACTATTGTTTGTATCTTTGTTGACATCCCAAAATATTTATTTAGGAAAAATTTTAAAAAGTTAAATTACGTTAGTGTATGCTTGGATATTTTTTATTTTTAATATAATGGAGATAACAGCTTTCGTAAGCATTTTCTTGAATAATTGGACCCTCTATACAGTTGTGGTTCACTCTTGGGGAATCATTGCTTGAAAAAATTATTTCTGATATTCTAGTATTATAGATATAACACTGAATGCTGCCTAATCTGAGATTTGGCTTTCATTCAAAGCTGTGTGATCTCGGGTGGGTTATTGCATATCTCTTAGCTCCAATTTCCTGACTTACAACCGAAGGAATTTGTAATAATACTTAGAGAATATTACCAACACTGATGTTTTATCATTATAACTCTATTTCTGATTTTAGAAGAAAATAAAGTAGTGTATAGGAATAAAAACATGTTTGTAGATTTTCATGATTTATCAGCATTAACTCACTCGCTGCCAATTAATTGCAAAGTTGCAAGATTTTCTTAGATCAATTTTCTTGCAGATAGATGTAATAAAACACCAGTTATTTGGACTGATGTTCAAATTCTAACAAAGTTTTAGTTTTCTTCAGTTAAAGAATTTCATTCTCTCTGCATAATATTTTAAAATATAGGCAAATAGATAGTGTCACATATATCTGCAGTTATTTCTCTATTATTTTATTTCCACTGCAGAAATAATAGATATATGCATGTGTATGTACATCTGTGTATATTAATTCTTGCACAAACTTACACAAATTCAATTAATGTATACTATAGGCCAATATTTCAATACATACCTTAGGTATGTTTAAATATATTCAAATGTGTGTCCCTGTTTTCTCACTTAGTTTTAAAAATATTTCCAATCACTTTAGTTTCCAGGAAACAAACAAACAAAAGAAAATTTTCTTTTTGTTTGGTTGCTTTTGTTTTGTTTTGTTTTGTTTTTGAGACAAGTCTCTGTCACCCAGGCTGGAGTGCAGTGGCACGGTTTCAGCTCACTGCAACCTCCGTTTCCTGGGTTCAAGCTATTCTTCTGCCTCAGCCTCCTGAGTAGCTGGGATTACAGGTGTTTACCACCATACCCAGCTAATTTTTGTAATTGTAGTAGAGACAGAGTTTCACCATGTTGGCCAGGCTGGTCTCAAACTCCTGACCTCAGGTGATCCACCTGCCTTGGCCTCCCAAAACTGCTGGGATTACAGGCGTGAGCCACCGTGCCTGGCCAGTTTGGTTGTTTCTCTAAATAAAGTTTACAGGTACTTAACACGTCCCTATTGAATTAACTTATGAATTAGATTTGTCCTTGTTTGTGTTTTAAATCCAGTTATTTTGCCCCTACCTGAATCTGGTTATCCCGGGGTAGATTATCAAAGATAACCTTTCCTCTTTCAGTGCCACTCTCTCTCCAGGTCTGTAAAAAATGCTCTTTCTAGAAGTTTTTGCTTTTAAAATAATTTTTTTAATTGTAGGCTTAAATTAGTAGAATAAAAACCTTCAATTTAGACTAGAAAATTAGCTGCAAACCTTCAGCAGCAAATTTCCTATCAATCAAGGTGTGATAATTCTGATCGTCTGTATTCTCTTGTCAGCAAACAGTGAAAAGCCTTTAATGTATATGATAGAAGTCTCAGGTAGGAATGGATCGGTATGCTATAGAGAGGCTTAGGCACATATGTCATTTGATGTTAAACTTTAGTCCTTTTTTCTGTTCTTCTTTCCCTCTTTTTCTTTTTTTTCCAGTATTTTTCCCCCCTGAAAACATGACCTTTCTCAACTGGAGAAACCTAGAGACTGGGGGCTAGCATAAATTTTAATTAGGCTAAAGTGATTTTAAGTGGTTCCCTTTGCATCTACTACCTGTTATTGATGACCACATCTCAAGAAAAATAAACAAAAAAAGATAACAGGTTAGTTTGTAAATTAAATGGTCAAGGCCTGTCAGGCCTTCTGGTCATTTTCCTCTCTACGGGTGAAGATACTGTTTTCTTCCCAGCAAAGCTGAAGAAGCTTGCTCTTTCAAATTACAATTATATTTTTTAACCCCCCTGCTTCATTTTCTGGGACTGAATATGTTTTGATCCCTTATCCCAATCCCCACGAGGAAATGATGTGGTACTATTTATTACAGTTATTTGCAGATGAGTTTTGGGCAATATGTTCTTTTCTTTATTTAAGTCTTGAAGTCTTTTAATAAGGAGATGTCTTGTGTCTGGGTCAGGAGCTCCCTTGGCTCTGAAGCCAACACCTGGCTGGCCCATACCATCTGTACTCTACCAGAAGAAAGGTCAAGTCCTCCCTTTCTCTACCTTTGATCACCCTTACCATTAATTACTGAGGTTGCTCCTCTTATTTCCCCTGATTGAGATTTCACTTCCATCCTGGCCTTTCACTTACAGCATTCTGTCCTTAAGGTGATCAATCCACATTTTTATTTTTAGTGACCACCTAGGTGAATATGATCTGTGTAAATAACTCTATTTACCAGCACTAGACCTTAGGAGGAAAACAGCTACCTTTTATAGAATTAGGGAATTTGGGGCAATTTAAAACACAATGTTTGACTTTGTGAGAGTCTTTCTAAATAGTTTCTGTATGCAAGAACCATTAAAAGATTCAGGATATGGAAAATTGGTAAACTTTGGTTTTGCAGATGCCAGAGAAATATAAGGTAAGATCATCTAAAATAATTTGGTTTGGCCATATAAAATAATAAAATGTAAATTTTTATATTCTTTGTCTTTTTTCTTATCACCATGCATGGTAATAATTAATTTGCATATCAGTACCTATATGTTGTATTAAATGGAACCCTCCTTTGTCAGTTAGATGAAGCTATTTTTCTCCTGTAGCATTGATCAACAGTACACTTTCACACATCTTATGTCATTCAGTCTCCTTAGGCTTCTAGTGCCTCAGCGCCTGTTCAGAACTTTAAAAAAGGAAGTAGTGTGGGTCTAGACCCAGCCAGTCAGCCGAATTTTAACAGGCAAAATCATTTTCCCATAACCTAACATTTACGTATTTTTGACATTTTTCTTCAGGTGTTCACCCAGATTGCATTTAGTTGTTTGCGTTAATTGGGAATTTAATCACAAGAAATTCTTGATTATATCTTTGGGAGATGTGGAAGAAACAGTAACTGCTTTGAAGAGATCAAAGCACCGAAAAGAAGTTGTAGTGACAGGGATGGTGGCTTTGTGAGTTCCCTCGAGCTGCCGAAACAAATTACACTAACTGGGTGGCTTACAAAAACAGAAATGTATCATCTCACGGTTCTGGAAGCCAGAAGTCCAAAATCAAGATGCCGGCAGTTTGGTTCTTCCCGGAGGCTCTGAGAGACATTCTGTTCCGTCCCTCCCTCCTAGCTTCTGGTAGTGGTCCTGAATCCTTCCTGCTCCTGGGCTGTACTCACATCACTCCAATGTCTGCCTCCATCTCCATTTGATCTTCACTTCTGTATTTTCTGATCATTGACTGTGTGCTTCAAACCTCCCTCTCCTTATACTTGTCAGGACATAGGTCATTGGATTTACAGCTTACCTTGAATCCAAGATGATCTCATCCCAGGATCCTTAATTATATGCAAAAATTATTTTTTAACAGTAAATTCACATTCATAAGTACTGGGGGGTAGGGTTTAGGCATATCTTTTTGGGAGATGTTATTCAGTCTACAAATGTGGAAAAGGACAATGTTGGTAGAACTTAAAGGGTTAAGTTTGGACATGACATTTAGACTGTGTCACCTGCAGAAGTTGTCTCATTAGGTAGTATAAAATATAAATATACTATTTGGCACAGTAGCTAAATTTTTGCTAGAGGTAAGAGGTAATGGAGAAACCTGAGTTGCAATGTGAACTTAATTCAAAAATGTACACACTAGTAAGAACTCAGCACAGTTCAGAGAATCTAGTGTAAGACAAGGAATATAGAAAGGACAAGGATAAATATTCCAGGGACAAGTTGTGCCAGTGCTACCTCTGGTGAGATTTTTGAGGCTGTGTTCAGCTCAGGGAGGGGCCTTCCATGAGCTATTCCTAATGTTAAGGATTTCTTTCTGTCAGTCAGTTCTACATATTAAGTGGAAAAAGCAGAGGCTCAGAAACCAAACTGAACTGACATAAAGTCGTTGGTTCACCAGTTACTAATATTCTAAACTTGAATATGCTGTTTATTTTTTCTTCTGAACTTCAGTTGTCCCATCTGAAATGATGAATAAAAAGAAATTATTTTTCATTATTCTTGGGAAGAAAAATAACTGCCCTCAGTGCCGTCCAAAAGAACTTTCTGTGATTCTGGGATTGTCCTCTACCTATGCTACTCAAAACAGTAGCCACTAGCCACATAGTTTCCCCTTGGAATGTATTTAATTTTAATTAACTTAAATTTAAATAACCTCTTATTGGCTCTTATATAGAACAGGGCAACTCTGGCACAGTTTCTGGCATATGAAAATGGTGCTCTCTTTATTTTCATTCTTGTCTCATTCTTTCTCAATAGATGCAGTTATTTAAATTGGGTGGGTGGGTGGGTGGGGACCAGAAACTGGTATGTATATCTTGAGTTCAGTGAATTTTAAATATTCTTTAGTTAGCACAAAGCTTTTATTCTTTGCAGAACAATGTTGGAAACTAACATTAGTCATGTAACCTTTGAAATCACAGCACTGTAAAAAAGAAAATTGAATATAAATTATTTCTTAGACTCCCATTTTTACAGTTTAAATACTAAAGTATGAGAAACTCAATTTGATATACTCTGACTAGATTATCACTCCATGATGCAGATTTCAAGGACACTGTTATGATAAAAAGTGCACATTAATTCAAGACACATCTCACACTTCCCAATATGTGATTTATGGTTTAAAATATTCGTTGCTCTTTTGCTGAATTTTTAATGGCTTTATTTTAACTATTTTCATAGCTGTAGATTTCATTTGGATGCAAACACAAAATTTTATATATTTCTTGGAAAGTAAGTGGAAATGGGGGAGAAGAGTTTTTGATGATACTCTGAAATTCTCCCTATGAAACCTCAACAAAAAATATCAGTATCTAATATCATCTTAATTATTATATACAATTAAAATATGTAACAAAATTGATAAATATACAGCGAAAAAGTGAGAGAAACACGAAGAATAGTTGAGTTTAGCTAATTTATTTAATTTATGAAAAACTAATACACAAGAATTAAATTGTGGCAAGAATGATTGTACTGATTAATAAATATCATTCAAGAGGTGAGCAAGCTCTGTACTATACAAGCAAAGAAGCAAAGTGTATTGACAAGCAAACTTGACAATATATCACATATACTGTTTATGTTATCATATGCTTAGCGAAACACAGAAACACACACACACAGAAACTCAGTAAATTATGACAAATTTCTAATGATAGACTAGTCTCTGGTATAAAAATAATGTAACAAATTAAGAAATAACATATGCAAAAAGAAGAAACTAAAACTATAATTCCAGATTATTTAGAAAATAGCAGTAAAAATATGCTACATATGGAATCTATGATTGTATATGAAACCATAATATAAAGGAACTAAATAAAAATAAAATAGATGAATTAGTTAAACATCTGAAAAATATCAGCACAACAAAATTTATGCAATTAGAATGAATGATTTAGTACATATAAAAACATAAATTAATGAACTAGGAGGGAAAGCAGAATTTGAAAATAAATTCAGAAACCTGTTCCCTGAAGTCAATAAATAAAATACAGAACACTTGCTTGATCAAAAATTGTGAAAACAAATAGAATCAGAAATGACAGCAAGAAAATGTGCATCAAATTAATAATATTTCAGGGGGCTATAAATTAGAAGAATTGGCTCAGTAAGTGATTAAAACTGTAAGTTTTCCAGTAGGAAGATAGCTTTTGAGCTATCCTAAAAATAAGTACTGTGGCTAGAAAATTTTATTCTTGAATTTCTTCTGTGGTCAAGAAGCCTATGCCATTTTAAGTGCTGGAGGTTAGAAAGAGAGAAGAAAATTATCCTAATTAATTTTATAAATCAATATGATCAATGACACTAAAATTGGAAAAATCTATATGATTATTGAAAAAGGCATTTAGTGGCCAGCATGGTGACTCACGCCTGTAATTCCAGCACTTTGGGAGGCCCAGGTGGGAGGTTCACGAGGTCAGGGGTTCAAGACAAGCCTGGTCAACATAGTGACACCCTATCTCTATTAAAAATACAAAAATTAGCCGGGGGTGGTGGCAAGTGCCTGTAGTCCTAGCTACTCGGGAGGCTGAGGCAGGAGAATCACTTGAACCTGGGAGGTGGACAGTGTAGTGAGCCGAGATGGTGCCACTGCACTCTAGGTTGACAACAGAGTGAGAATCCATCTAAAAAAAAAAGGCATTTAGTTAACTTTAATGTCTATTTTTAATAAAAACTTTATTTTTATTGAATTATTAGGCAAACGAATTAGAAAATAAAAAGAATTCAGAGGTATAAAAATTGGAAATAAGAATACAATATTATTATTTATTTTTAAAAACCTGAAGTGACCAAAATATGTTCAGAAACAATTAGCATTAAGTACATTAGATGTTTACAAAACAAATTATTGATAGTATTTATGATGCCAAAAATTTTGAAAATATAAGGAAATCTAATAATTAAAAACTGCAGCTAAAAACATAAAAAGTGTAGATACAAATTCAACAAGACCTGTACAGGCCCTGGGTTAAAAAATATTTTTTTTAATTTGTAAAACATTAGTACTTTAATGGAAGGATGTATCTCAATTGCAGAGTTATCATTATATGAGATCTCTTTTCAAAATGCTTGAGTGGAATTCTAGCTCTAGTCTTTACTGATTATTTGACCATTTATCAAGTTTTCTAAATATTCTGTAGCTTAGTTTTCCTATCTACAAAGTAATGACAATACTAAAAAATATTCCATGATCTTAAGTGTTTGGAAATCATCTTATACATACTCAACATTTAGTTACCATTTGCTAATTATTTGACTGTTTCTACTAATACTTCTGCTGCTACAGTGAGGAAGTTTAAAACATCAGTGATATGAAATCACTAAAAATTTATGCATTCAATGTAAATTCAAGCAAAAACCTATTAGGATTTTTAATTTGTCAAGTGATTTTAAAGTACCTCTGAAAAAAATATATAAAACAAGAAAAGTACTGTCAGGCAATATTGGAAGCGGGATTATACCCTAATAGATATTGAGATTCATTATAAATTTATATTATTTAAGATAATAAGATAATGGAAATAATAGAGGGTCTAGAAATATATATGTCTACATATATATAGAAAGTTAATATGTGATCACAAAGATTCTTAATATCGGTGGAATAACTACCTTAACAACCAAGAATATTTATTCTTATAAAGCAAATAGATACAGGACTTCAGAAAAGAAATACAAAGGATCAATAAATATATACTTAAAGTTCCTAGTAACTGAAGAAATACAAATGAAATATGAATATTGTATTTCTATTTTGCTTAAAAAATAGACCATTACAATTTCTATACTTTTGATTGTTAGGGAATGTGTGTTTTCCACAGCCTCCATGACTCCAGTTTAAGGAACTAAGGTGGGGCATGGATTTGGGGAAGGATAGAGGTCAGAGATAGAGAGATGGTCAAGGATGATGAAAGCTTCAGAAGTTGTTTTGCAGTCATCACTTGTAAAAAAAGGTTAATAAAAGGCTGATTTTCCAGTATGACAGAGAAGTGTCAGAAGGCCATGATTTGCTTTATGCTTATTGTAAAATCTGAAAATATTATGAAAATGCAATTGTTTCCTGTGTGTAGGGAAATAGACACATATACACTGTTGATCAGAGCACAAAGGTATGCAGTCTTTCTGCAGGGTAGTTCTACCGTATTGATCAAAACATAAAACCTGGATATTCTCTGTTACAGAAATTTTCTTTATAAACATCTGTTTTAGTAAGAAAACTAATTGTGCAAAGATAAATGTGCATAGTCTTTTTAGAATTGTTTATACTACCCGGAGAAAAAGTAAAATAACCTAAATGTCCAGGAATAAGAGACTGTTTAGAGATGAATCATGTAATGTTCAACAGTGGAATGCCATGCAGCCATCCATGGATGCTGTTGATTTGTATTCACAGAAATGAAAAACTCTGTACAATGGATCGCAAAAGTAAGTTTACACACACACACACGCCCACACACACATGCACATACATACATACATGTATATGTCATCAGAGAGAGCTGCCATAAAGTATGTTCAGAAAAATGTTAACAGTAACTGCCCCTCACCCGTCCCTCGTTCCCCCGACCCCCGTGGTATTTTGGGCGATTTAATGATTTACCTGCTTCACTCTGAGGATTCTTCAAGAGTATGTGCTATTGGATTTTAATTAAATGACCGATACTTGCCTAATCTTTTAACCAATTCTGCCTATTGATTAACGTGTTCAGAATCACTTCACTGTGATGTAAATAGCTCTCAGGCAGTAGAAATTTTGAGTAAGACTAGAGGAAAGGAGTATTTCTTTTCGAAATTAGTATACCTGGCAGAAGAAAACTTTGGGCAACCCGTTGACCCTGCACCAAGGAAGAGTACACGGGCTGCAAGAGGTGCTCAGAAAGGAGGTAAAGGACAAGAGCAGAAAATGGTTAGTTTTCTCTGACATGTAGAAGGAGTGCTTATGTATCACAGGAAATCTCATGGACAGTTGGTCTCATATTAAACACTGCTAATGCCAAATTTGCCAGATCAGTGCTACTTTGGAAAGTATTTAATTTTGACTTCTTGGTTCATCCAGTTCCTTCCTTCCTGTCGGAACTTAACTCCCCACCCCCAGTTTAGGTAAAGCACAGTTTTCTGTGTTGCATTTCCTCCTTTTCACATGCAAGTTCTGCCCCTCCTTGCCTGTGAAAAGGAGGAAAAAGAGATATTTATTAATTAATCCAGTATTTCTTGATTATTCTTCAAGTGTCAGGCACAATGTGAGACCCTGGAAGCTGAGTTTCTGTAAGTCTGGTTAGAGAGGCAGATGTGTAAGTAGGTAGTTGCAACACAGCTGCAAGTGCCATGATGGACATCTACACAGCTGGCATTCATATAAACATCCAGAACGAGCACAGGGGAGAGGAGATTCCTGGCCACATAGGGCTAGGGAGGGGAAAGTAGGATGTGAAGTGACCGTCATGTGAAGGAGGTTTCTTTCCAGGGTGACAGAAATCTAAACCTGTGAATCACTTTCAGTAGTTGCAGCTTATTGTATGTAAATTATATGTAAGTAAAGATGTTTGTTAACAAAGAATTCATATGAACACGCATGTTAGCCGGGGTGGGGGGGTTGGGGGGAGGAGCGGGGGACAAGGGTATGAGATCAAGGTCTGGCCATTGTTAGGAAAGGAGGTGGTAGAGGGTGTACTTTGGGCTTTAGGTTAATCAGAATTTAGGCTTGTGAAGGAGGCTGGCAAGTGTGGCCCAAGCATGTGCAGCAGAAAATGGGAAGCACGGGCTGGGGAAAGCTGGAGAGATGCAAAGAGACTGCATCCTGCAGGGCCTCAGGCCTAGGGTGAGAAGTTTTAAGTGTTATCTAATTTGTGTTCATGAGGTTCCCATCCACTGCTGGATTAATTAGGTCTGTTGTCTCTTTGTCTATAAACGGGCATTTCGAAGTAAGCGATTTACTCAATCAGCTTGTTCAAAATGCAGACATCTAAGATCCATGCCTAGAGATTCTGATCTAGGGGGTTGTACTTGGGGACAAGAAATCAGCCTTCATGATTCTGATGAAGGTGGTCTATGAACCAAGTTTGGGGAAATATTATTTTGAGAAGTTTCTAAAATATACATATTCATTCATATTCCAAATGCCAAATTCCTTGCATTATGTAGGATCACTGTCATAAGCATTTAGGTGCTCAGGACCTTAGTTTGTGAGCAAGTTCTTTGTTTTTTGCATTCAAGTTCAATTGTAATTACCCACTTTAAAAAATAAAAGTATTCCTGGCCAGGTGCGGTGGCTCATGCCTGTAATCCCAACACTTTGGGAGGCTGAGGCGGGAGGATCACGAGGTCAGGAGTTCGAGACCAGCCTGACCAACATGGTGAAACCCCGTCTCTGCTAAAAATACAAAATTAGCTGGGTGTGGTGGTGGGCGCCTGTAATCCCAGCTACGCATCAGGAGGCTGTGGTAGGAGAATTGCTTGAACCTGGGAGACGGAGGTTGCAGTAAGCCGAGATTGTGCCACTACACTCCAGCCTGGGCAACAGAGTGAGACACTGTCTCAAAAAAAAAAAAAAAAAAAAAAAAGTATTCCTGCAGCATATTGCCCATAGATGTTATGTTCTTTTTAGTAATATATGTTGTAAAAAAGAAAGGTGAGATGTCATTTGTAAATGTGGAATGGACCAATGAAAATGTTACAAACAAAATGAAACATTCTTACAGTTTGAAACTTTCATCAAATTATTTACAGATATAATTTTAAGGGACTGCACTATAGCATGATCTAAATTTAAGGCTGGAAAGAATTTAGTATAGTATTCAAATTCTATGCCTTACTTCCGGTGAGGACCTATGGATACCCTTCTTTTCAAGAAACAAACAAAGACATTAAGCATAATGCGATGAACATGCTTTGAAGCAACCTGCTGCATTTCATTTAAGCCATGATCACATGCATTGTATTTCTTTTAAGAGGAAGATAAATATTAAGATTGTAATTGTAAAGGTTTTTCTTCCCCTGAGAGTGTTTGCTATGAACTTCTATTGTTTTCTGGAGTGATTCTGCAGAAAAAATATACCACTACCTATAGTGAATTAAGTTATGATGTTTGGTTTTAGAGATACATGTATATTCTCCTTAAGACTTTTTGCCCCCGAATTAGTTATTCATTTTTCTTCAAGACTCTGCTTTGGGAAAATAATCTCATTATGGCCTCAGCCAATGAATGTAACTCATTTTCATTAAATGTTATTTTGCCATTATGGTCATAATTCTCAATTAATTTTAATTTCCCTCCTTGACTGTGCTTTTCAAGAGGTATATATGATCAAGAAGATGCCTAATTACTGAAAAAAATTGTTAGATGTGGAAACTCCAGACAAAACCGACTTTAATAGTCCCAGAGAGTGGGAGACAGCCGCATTTAGCCTTAAGAGCAGGTAAAGTGATGTGGAAGATTTGAAGAAACTTACCTTGTGCCAAAAAATTTTGTACACATTTTGTACACATTTCAGTATTTGTTGCTTAAGATTTCACTGTTAGAAACTGAGATTCGTTCTCTAAGCCCTGGTTAGAAGTAAATATCCTTGAATAAGGTGGAGTTCATTCAGTTAGAAAATGTTTATTTTGTATCCTTAGTATGTATCAACCACAGAAACTCTCACGTATTTATTTTGTCATCTTCTAACTGTAGTCTGTATTATTATTATTATAATTTCAGATGGCAAAAATTAAGGCACAGAATATATAGTTATGATCAAAGGGTATAGTTAGTAAGTAACCAAGACACAAGTTAAATTACGATCTGTTTACATTTTAAACCCAAGCTCTTTCTATACCATAATAGATGAGTCTTAGGAGCAAGAGGGTTAATTAATTCAAAGAAGTAGATAAGCTGATTCTGGTTAAAAAGGTGGAAATTAGAGCACCAAGGACATTGGTTTAAATAATCCCTGCAGCTGGTGAGAGGTAAATCAAAAGACAGTGCTTAATCAAATTCTCTTGACTCTATTGGTAAAATTTCAGAGACCATTTAGTCCATCATGCCTTCTTTGCTATATGAGAATCTAAATTGTATACCTCAGAAGGTTTGAGGTGTTGTTCCTGGTTTCCCTTGTTAGAGAGATTGAGTAGGGTGGAGAGAAATCCAAAATCCTTTGGCAACAAGAAATAGGGAATAAGAGTTCAATTCACAGATTGTGAATTCTGTGACAAAGAAAGCACTTTTTGGGGTGCTCGGGGTGGAAATGTAACAGAGAAACTGCTAATTTTGTTTGCTCTTAAAATGATAGTATAATTTTATTTAAGCTAAGTTTTTCTGTGAGAAATTGTGAACTCATCAGTTTTATCTTATTTTTAGAAAAACTGTACTTTCCATTATTTCTATGATAACTTTAAAGTATATTACAACATTATCACTAACACGTTTATGGTGTGAAAAAGTAGGTTGTTGTTTCCGTAGATAATATGTTTACTTTATAATGCATTTACGCATTTTGGGAGGAAACCCTTTTTAACCTGAAATTTTTGATACTTCTGAGTAGTTTATATAAAAACATTTGATTGTCCTTTTATAATTCTATTGGACAGAATTGCACATAAATACATATGTTTACACTATCTTTTTCACCTTTAATTAATTTTTAATGGTAAGCATTTCAAATTTTAGGGGGGAGAAATGAGCAGTTTTATTTGTTCACTTATGCTCCATGTACTATAGTAGTCTCCTAGTGTCCTTTTTTTCTCACCATTAAAGAACCAAAATATAACCTCTCTGTAACTCTGGAGGCCTCTTATCCAAAGTCATTTTCTACAGAATGGAAAGCTTCTCATAGTCAATAATCACTTCATCTATCTTATCTAGTAGTTCAATTATCACATTAAAGTGCTTTATTGTGGGGCATTCTCTTTGATACTTTCCTCTCTCTGGTTAAAATCCAACCAGGCAGTGAATCGCTTACTTATTACTCTTCTAAAACCAGATAAGCCTCAAGGCATATAAGGCAGGTGACCTTAAAGCTGGGCAGTTTTATTGATTCACTTAAAGAATAGGCATAAATATATGTTATTGGGTTTGTATTTTTAAACAAATGTATTATATTAATTCGAATTCTATAATTTTCCTTTTAAAAATATGTTACTTGGAAAAATATGTAATTGACAGCTCAGTATTGACTCTGTTTCATTCCTTAATTGTTTCCATGGGAGGACTCTAAGTCTTTCAAGAACTGGAACACATTTATTTATTTTTTAATTGTCTATGGGGTTGCTGGGAGTAGAAGATATGACATATGGCAATGTTTTCAAATACTAAATTAATGCTCTTAGATAGAGATTCCTTTGGACGATTTTATTCCCTTTATACTTCTACCCTTTCCTCTTTTGCACATATAAGCAGACTATGTTAGGGAGACAATCTAACTATAGTTTATTTCTAGTAAGAATTATTTATCAACAGTAATAAAATTTTTATTGCTTTAAATCTCTTCCTTTTGGAAAGTGAAACACCCTGATGGCATGAAATGCAGCTGAAAGACCATGTAATAAAGAGCTTGCAGTGTTATTTTAAGCTATTTGGCCTATATTAAAAAGTTAATTTAAAAAATACAGCATGCAATTATGGGATGAAACTAAGGATCCAGCTAACATAGAAGCCTACATCAGTGTAAAAAGGCATGTGGAAGTCCATAGTGTAACCAAATAGCCTTTGAAGTAACAGAACTTACGGAATACATTTTTAGATGTACTGCTTTAGAAAATGTAAAAAGGTACTTTATACATATACAATCACATTAATACTTCACTCTGTAAATATTTTTCCTGGTATCTCCTAATATTTTTGTGTGTTTCAAAAGCATTTTATCACAGCAATTGCTTTCTTCCAGTGATGATCCAGTCTAATAAAATCTCAAACCATTCATTGGTGAGAGTTTGATTCACCTCTCCTCAAATGTCTCCTAACATTTACCACATCTCTTTTAAATGTATTAAACAGTAGTTCCAAAGAAGATAGAGGAAAGTCACGTCTTAGGAGGAATCATTCACAGCTATATAGCATTTAATTAACATGATACAGTTTGTCTTTCTAAAAGTTCTGTAAATAGATATTTTACATATTTTAACCAAATTAGATATATTTTAAAGATAAGACATTTGAAAATGGACTGTTTTAACTCAAAGTCATAGTATAATACATTTTTCTCCTCATTCCTTACCCAAAGTTATATTTTATATGCGACTTAAGATTTTGGTTATGCTCAAAAGACTTCCGGGATTTAGAAAGAATGAGTAGGAGTTTATTAATTTATAATTGAAATAACGACAGAACGATTATGGTAATGAGGATTAAGGTAATATATAATTTTGGATTTTATACAGTTTCAGCATTGTTTCTCATTACGTCTTATTTGTATTTTTAAGACAATGCAAAAATGTCTAATTTGGATTTAATCTCTATAGGCTTAGCCCACTCTCTGATACAACTTTTAATCATGAGTGAAGTAGCTCAAAGTCAAACATTTTGGAAGAAATATTAGAAGGTCTGTGATTTCAGAAGTAAAAATTAGGGACCAGGCATGGTGTTTCATACCTGTAATATCAGCACTTTGGGAGTTCGAGCACTTTGGGAGTTCGAGCACTTTGGGAGTTCGAGGCCAGAGGATCACTTGAACTCAGGAGTTTGAAACTAGCCTGGGAACATAGTAAGAAAAAAAAATAGCCAAGTGTGGTAATATGCACCTGGAGTACCTGCTACTTGGGAGGCTGAGATAGGAGAATGGGTGTGGGAGAGTGAGGCTGCAGTGAGCTGGGCAACCAAGTGAGACCTTGCCTCAAAAGAAAGAAAAAAAAGTAAAAATCAGCACCTGAAATCATTACAGCATCCATAGGATCTCAATAAATTAGAGTTTGACATCAGGAAAACCCTTGTAAAGATTTTCCTTTGCTGGGAAGTATAATTCATTTAGGAACAATTCAAAATTTTTTTAAGAGAAGATTATTATTTAAGAAAAGATTTTTTTTAAAAAAACTGTTACCATCCTTCCAAATAAAACATTCAGCTTCAAAGTCAATACCAGCTTAAAAAGTACTATTTATTTTAAGCACATGTTTATTCAGTGTTTCTACCATGCCGGTACTTTTTGAGGTATGTAGCCGTGAAGCAGAGACTTATATTTTCTCATGAGTCTTACCTCTGGTTGTGGAGACCCTTTATGCAAATTAAGTAAATAAGGAAGGATAATATCTCTAGCAACAAGCTCTGCAATGTCTTGAATTAGGGCAAAGTAGTCAAGTGACTCTATGACTGCTACACATTGGTTCATTAGGCAAGCACTTGCTAAGGAGATGATTTTAAGCAGCACCTGGAATGATGAAAAGTTGTCACTTATGCAGATTGGGAGGAAAGGAATCCAGGAAGGGCTTTTAAGGGGCCCTTGGTGGCATGAGGGGTGGTGATCAATTATAAATTACTTTCAGTTTAGACCTGGCATTAATGCGGTTAAAAATAGTTAGAAATCACATACGTGAATATGTGGACCCGGATGATACATTCCTGAAACAGTTAACACTATTTCCCATTCCATTATCCCATGGAAGATGTTGCTGATCCGCCACAGAACTAGATTCTTCCAAATTCTAATGCATCTTCCAAATCCTCAATAACAGCATTCAGGGAGTCAGATCATTGGCTCATAAGATGAAGCACATATGTATCTCACTCTTATTCTGAGGTCCGGGTAAAACTCTGGCTCAAACCTCTTTTATACACGCATGGAGATATTTTAAAAAGCTTCAGTGTCCCAGCCTGGACCATTTAAATTAGGATCTGTGGGCACAGGACTCAGGTAGGGATATTCCTTTTTTTTTTTTTTTTTTTTTTTTTTTTTTAAAGACGGAGTTTGGCTCTTGTTGCCCAGGCTGGAGTGCAATGGCGCCATCTCAGCTCACTGCAACCTCCGCCTCCCGGGTTCAAGCGATTCTCCTGCCTCAGTCTCCCGAGTAGCTGGGATTTCGGGCATGCACCACCACGCCTGGCTACTTTTGTATTTTTAGGAGAGACGAGGATTCTCCATGTTGGCCAGGCTGGTCTCAAACTCCCGATCTCAGGTGATCCGCCCGCCTCGGCCTCCCAAAGTGCTGGGATTACCGGCGTGAGCCACTGGGCCCGGCCTCAGGTAGGGATATTCTAAAAATTTCCCAGGTGCTCCTTAACATGCATCCAGAGATGAGACTAGGTCCCTGTTCCTCAGTCTCATGCTGTTTCCTACTTATCCATTCAGTTACTATATTATTAAAATAACAAAAACAAAATAAAAACCTCCAGATATTTATAGAATGACCAGCAGCCAGTGCCTTCTACGCCCCAAAGCTGTCGTTTTTCTTTCTGTTTGTTAGTTTATTGTTTCCTAGGCATATTCTGAAGTGCTTATTCTGACTCACTGTCCTTTTCTCTGTAAGCTGTATCAGTTTTTCAAGTGCATAGACATATTTTCCCGATGAGAACACAATGTGAGCCACATATATAATTTTATATTTTCTAGTAGCATTAAAAAAGTAACAAGAAAAAGTTGAAATCAATTTAATTATCCAATCAATACATCTAAAATAACTTTAATATATTAATAAATGGGATCGTTTACAGACCATTTTTCATCTTAATGTCTTTGAAATCTGTGTGTTTTCCATTTCCAGAACTGGCCAAATTCCAAGTGCTGAATAGCCACATGTGGCTAGTGACCTCCAGATTGGGGAGTGCAGTGTAGATAATTAATCTTGTATTTGGATCTTGATCTCTGCTAATGTGCCACTGGAATATATTAAAGCATGCATGATTTAAAGTTACTCTAGAATTGATTTACTCCAAATTAACTTATTTCTGTAATGGTAGGAATTTTACCTGCTGCTTTGGAAATATATTTTGTGGAGGCAAGGCTTTGAGCCACTATAAGAATCATATCACAGATGATCACCAGTTATTACAAGAAGTTCTATTTTTGTGGTAAAGGAACAGACGTACATATGTACACACACATAGCCATACACACAATGTTGGTTGCAAATCAATATGTAGATCTACAGAGAGAGAAAACTGACTCAAAGCAAGTCCCAGGTTTCTCAATCAAATGAAAGTATAATTCTTAAAATGCTGAAAAATTGCTCACATCCTGATATTTTAAATGCTCTAGCAAAATGGTATTTTCTAAAAATGCAGCATCCTATTATACCTTTGAGGATTTTCATTACACTTTCTATATTTTTGCTAAATTAGCAGAACCTTAATCATTAAGGGCATTTTTAACTTCTGAATCCCAAAACCTTATAGTGACTAGTCATGGTTAAATATAAAATAAGAAAACAATCAGTAAAAATCCCTTATCCTTAACTTTACTAAATATTCAAATGAAGAAAGAAAAACAAGTGTTCAAGTTTATGAGGCAATTTGCTTATTAGATTCTTTAATTCTTGCATTTATTCACATAGAAGTAAAGTTGTGGCTATAGTATAAATGTATATAAAATGTGTAATTTCCAGATAGAACAGAACTGACCCTCTTTTATAAATTAAGAGAAAAATAGTTTGTGTATACATGAGCTTAATTTGTGTTCATCTCCAAATAATCATATAATTTTTCCTCAATGCTCTAATTCATGTTAAATCTAAATATTTTACTTTAAATATCATTTTTGCATGTTATCGAAGATTTAATCCTAGTAGAATGGGATCAGGGAGCATCTCTGTTCTATAGAAACAAAATAGTCCTGTGCTGATTGGTCTCTTTCTTTGGATTTGTTTAATTGACTAGTAGAAAACAGACCTATTCCCCTTAACGTTGCAAGTAATATGTAGTCATTAATGAGAAGCCCCTTCTTTTGGAGGTCGCAAGTCAATATGGTTTTCTAAGTGACTGAACTAGAAAAGACTAAGTCTAGGGGGAAATATAATAGAAAAGAAAAAATATGATTCGGGATTCAAGATATATAATATCTGACCATATCTAGAAGAAAAAAAATTGTTCTGCTGCATGAAAAATGTTTCCTGTAATAGAATGCACATATAACACCTTCTGTTTGAAAAAAAATGTGCATTACTCTCACCCAAGTAACTCTTTCTAAACTTAGGTTATCCTTATCATTGAAATTGTAGTAGTAAAGCGATAGAAAAAAAGACATTGAAAATGGAATTTATATTTATTTTTTTCATTAATATTTTATCATAAAATTTGAAATAACACAGCCTTAAGAGGTGATCTTTGGGACTATGCTTTTAAGAACAGAAAGGAGGAAAGATTTATTCCTTTTACCTGTAGTATCTTTATAAAGGGAGTCATCATGATAATGATAATTGCGCAATAAAGCAAAAAGCACACTAAAAATGGAAACATACTTTTGAAAATTCTGAAACAATATATTTTATTGCAGCAAACAAAATAGATAGCTAATACTAATTATGGGCTAAACAAATTTGTTTAATATTCAATTTAATCTATAATACACCAAAAAATTGCAAATAGATTCTATCTTGTCTGTTTAGAATGTTATAAGACTTTGTTCTGTATGCTTTTCAAAGCTTTGTTCTTCTGCCTTTGGGACTAAATCATAAAGTTCAACCAAAAAAGCTTTGTTTCCCAAAGGACACAGCAGGCATTGATAGTGTACTGTAGCTGTAATTCTATAGTGACACCAGATTGGCGACTGACAGAAATCTCTTGGGTGAAAGTGACAAAGCTGTAATATTTTCACAATGGACTGACTGATGTCTTTGGAAGGTCTGTTTGATTTCAAAGGACATTTATATTTTTCTGTGAAGATGAAAGTATATTAGACCTTTGTGATGAAAATCATCTGACTGCATAATAAGCATGGAGATAAATAAAATTATAGTGCTAGTTTCCTGACTTATTTATTGCCTGAAGCTGATTAAGAATATTTCACAGTATAGATCAAGTGCTATTTATTTTTAGGACAAAGTGGTTATGAGGTTATCTTTATTTCTATCTGATTAATAGAGAATAAATTACTTAGAAAATAGAACGCATTGCCTATTCCTATGAAGAGTGAGGAGCATATGTATTTTTATAAGATGATGTATTTATTACTTATAGTTAAAATAATAAATATTTAATAGATTAGCGCATAAAGTATTTTGTTTATATCAAGGTTTGAAACAAAGCATGTAACAACATTTTAATTTTTTTCTGCTTAGTTTACCGGAGGGTATCCAGAGTTCTTGAAACTTTAGTAAACTAAGGAAACTGCCAAAAACTACATAAATTTAATTAAAAGTTAAGTTTTAAAATTTTTGAAAATTTGAAACTCTAAATACATGTTAAAATCTGTCATACTTAACATCAGTAAAATATGAGTAATTTTTAAACTTTCACTTTCATACTGGTTTATAAGATAATATTTTAAGGAGAAAACAAGGAACAGTTCGTGTGTTCACGCCAGCATTCTTGGCTCATATTTTTTAACTGAGTGGTTAACACTTCACTATGTTATTTTGAAATTTGATGTTGCTTATTAGAGCTTACCTAAAGTCTTGCTGTTTGAAAAACTATACAACTATGATTAACATGGGTTATGTTTGTAAGATGTAAATGATATATAATTTAATATTTAAAAATATTAGTTATAGCATTTTAAAATAGCTATTGTAAAATTGCTTGATCAACTACTTAGGAGAATGAAATAAATCTTTTATTTATTTATTTTGTATATGAAATTAAGAATCAACACAATTCAAAATTGTCTGGGCTTTTAATGTTAATCATGCTACATTTATTTTTAAATAGTTTTAAAATAGTGTTCATATATCTTTAGGGTCAAAATACATCTCTCCTTCCTTTGGGCCTCCATTGGATTCTCTTCTAGCAATGGTTTCTTAATGGCTGCCTTGATAAATGGGTTTGTGTTGTCCTGGAAGCTGAAAATAAAATTGCTTGCCACAGATTTCACTGAAAGATGTAAACAATATAGTGTGAAATGGTTTTGATGCAGAAGTTTTATTGATGATAGGAAATAAAGTTTAGAAATTAATTAAAGGTTTATGTTTTATCAAAATATTTTAATTTTTACCTTTGAATTTAATTGTATCATTATCAATTTTTATTACAAGTTACTGTCCATTCATGCAGTGGTTTTCAGCCAGGCCTAGTACTCTACTACCTGAGGGCACTTGGAAACCTGGAGGGACTTTTCAGCTGTGGCAGTAACCAAGGAGTATATTTCTGGCATTAGATGTAAAGGGGCAAGGATGCCAGTTATCTGACTGCTCAGGACAGTTTTACACTGTATTAGTTTACTATTGCTGCTGTAAAAAATTACTGTAAATTTCGTAGATTGAAACGACACAATTTTATTGCCTTACGGTTACGTAGAAGTCCAACAGAGGTCTCAGTGGTCTAAAATCAAGGTGTGGATAGGGCTATATTTCTTTCTAGAAATTCTACGAGATAATCCATTCACTTGTATGTTCCAGCTTCTAGAGGACATTCCTTGGCCAGAGGCCCCCTTCCTCCATTTTTTGAAGTCAAACATTTTATCTCTCTAACTGTTCTGAAGTTTCTTCTCTCAAGAACTCTTCTGAAGTTTCTTGTCTCATAACCACGTTTGCAAAGTCTGTTTTGCCATATGAAGTAACAAACTAACAGGCCCCAGGGATTTGGACTTTTTTGGGGAGCAGTGGGGTTCTATCTGTTTCATGCACCATGAAGAAATTTCTCACTTTTTCAATAGCTGGAACACAGAGAAGCCCTGTGTTGGAGGGTAGTACATGAAATAAGCTGACAGCTTTCACTTCTTTGAAATTTGCATTTGATGCCACTTAAATAATGCTCAGGGTTTGCCCCACGACCGTATCTACTTGTTTTGTTGTTTCTGTCTAAAAAAAGCTAAAGTGGTAATATTGAATAATGAATCAGGATGACCTCAGAGATGGCTCTAAAAGCCATTGCTAAGATATATAGACGTAGATATCTAAGCTTTTACATCTGGATTTCTTCATAGGCAGCCTTTCGTGATGCACACCTCAGGTTCTTGTTCTATGGATTCCTGCAATCTGTCTTTTAAATGTATATAGAGACAGAGTAGGTATAAGACTAGAAAAAAAAAGGGGGAAGAAGTATAAGACAGCTGTCCTTCATTACTTAATTCCTGGATGAGGAATTTTAATTTAATCCATGATAGTTATTTCTTAGAATAATCATCTAGATTTCCTATATCTCTGCAAGGTTATCTTACGATTTTAAAGATTTCTTTTCTGATAAAATCAGTTACATATCACCAAATAAGTTGTTACCATCTATCAGGAATTTTTAAAGACTTGAGGTTCCAAGTAATATTCCCTAATATTCAAATAAATTTTCAAAAGATAAAAGAAAATCTATTAAAACAAACAGCCTAAAATTTTTTACTATACATAGATTATTTAATTTGGAGTAATGATAAAATTGTATTATTTATATCATCTGTGTTTAAAATTGTGATGAAATTTGACATTTATTTAACAGTTCACTATTTGCAAAAATACTGTAAGTGATTTGTAATACTTGCAATGGCACCATAATATAGCTATTAGTATTTCTATTTCACAGGTAAGGAAACTGAAGTTCATAATAATCTTGTCCAACAGCAACACACGTAGTTAATAGTGAAGCCAAAATTGGGACTCTGAATTTGTGCTCTGCTCTTTGGCAGCTGTGTTAAAGTAGAATCACTGTGGAAATTTATTTATGCTGTTGATTCCTCCTTAGATGCTATTAGAGTTCCCCGATTAGTAATGAGTGACTAGTTTGAATTATTGTAGTTTGAATTATACACTAGTTTATAATTGTATATTGGCTTCTTAGCCAATATACAATTAGCCTTAGACAACCTAGGATTATCTAGGCTTCTTAGCCTTAGACAATCTAGGAGTTCATTGAATGTTGAGTACTTTAGTGGGCCAAATCTTCAGGTTAAATATTTTTGGCATGTAAAATTATAATTAGCTGTATGAAGCTGATTCTGGGTTTAGATTGCTAAGGAAAGTCAGAACTAGCTAAATTAGTCCTACTAGAATTATATTGCGTTGATCAGCATATCATAAAGAGGGGAGGAAAGAAAATTCTCCTTGGAGGTTTCCTTTATCTCTCTGAATTTTTAAATTAAAATCTATTTTCTATGTTTCAGGCACTTTATAAATTATTTTAATTAGCATTTTAATACTGGCTTCATATTAATAAATTGAGATAAAACTTTAAATTTTACTAATGCAGTAATTGATTATTTGGTACAACTACAATATCTTTATAATTTGAGCTTTGAAACAATCAAGAATTTTAAAATGCAAATATTATAAGATGGTTTCTCCTACCTGTATATTTGGTGACCATTAACTCTTCAGTCCACTATGATTTTTAACTTGTCATTGTTGATTGAAAGAAGAATGTTAAGTAGGAAAAAGTACTCAAATTAATGTAATTAAATCAAAGTAATTGAGTATAGAATTGCTTACCATGGTATAACTTTTTTATTTTTTATTTTTTTTACTTCTCATTTTTATGTTCTTTTGTCTCATCAACTTTTCCTTGTATCCTATGTGACCATAAGACTACTGGAAAAAACTGGGAACATGTCTACGTTTTGAGGTTCATTGTTTAAAAGAGAATAAACACATATTTTCTTATGTACATCATATATTAATAGATATGGTATCGGCTATACTCTAATTTATTTATTCTGCTTTTTTCAGATATTTATATGTATGTTGTTGGTTGCTTTTGTTTAAGATATTTGATAGCATGTCCCCGAGTATTTCTCTTCTTATTTGTAGAAAAGAAACATTATATAATGTCGTAGAAGAAACAATAACAATATATTCTCATTATATTTGACCTTTACTGGGTCATTCTTTATAAAAACATTTTTTTAATTCATACCAATGGATGCTATAGGAAATATTTTCATTTATTGCATACAGATCATTAAATTTAGAGAGATAACACTGATAGCCACGAAGTGATAAAAGGGTATATGATCAAAGGCTAGAGCATACACAGTGTCTCCTTTTAAGCAATCCTAAGATTACGGTGCATTTCAAAGATAATTGTTTTATACAATTCTTCTTTTAATTTAATCTACATAATAATATTGTCCTGCCAAAATTTTCCAAAATGCTGATGATTAGGCCCATGTTTGGCAAAAGCCTGTGTATCTGTACTCCATAGCATTGACCAGTAAAAGGAGGAAAAATGCTTTTGAAATCAGTATGATTTTATTTCATTTAATCAAAGGCTAATCATTACAAAAGCAAATGATTTGATTGTTTGGTTGTTCAGAAAATAATTGTAAATGGTGTCCATTTCATTAAGCTTTTAAAAATAAAGGCAACTACAATAAATAGTTACAGCCTGTTTATGTCCACTTTCCTAAGTTTTAATACACTACAAAATTCAGCTGACTTACTGTTCATATAACCAGCTTAAGAGTGTAAGTGGTAACTTGGAAGATGACATTTGGAAAAATAGACTGCTCTCTCAGCCCCATGAGGCTCACTGAGCATGAAACGACCACTGGCACCATGGTGGCCTTGTATTATCAAGTAACTGGAGTGAAGTTGATATACCAGCAGTGGCTGGAGTCAGGTTCTGACTCATAAAATAGACCTTTTCATGCTCTGCTACGTTCTCGTTCAGGAAAGCTACCATATGTAGAGAACTGTGTACATAAAATTTGGAATATGATTTCTTGTAGCTTTTGGATAACTGTTATGAAACTCACACGGCAAAAAATATTCTTAGTATTTCAACAAAATTATTTTTATTTTATTTTGAAAAATGCAATTTTAAAAAAATCTCAGTTGTTTATAAATATCATTTCAATCAGTCTTTTATATCAAAAGTGATATGTTTAATATACACTTACTGTGTACCCACAAAAATTAAAAATAGCAAAATTTAAAAATGCTGTTTTAAACAAACATTGATACTTGTATGTAGCATCTAAGATGGCTTTAGCAATATATATTAATATACAATACCTTTATATGGTTATGATAATAGAATAAATACTGTTTGTTCTAAGTATTATTTATTCATTCATGCAGTAAATATTTATTGAGAGTCAAACATGTAAAGGGTACCATGCTATTAATTAGTTTGGAATCTAACTTCCAATTGGAGTGAGTAGATAAAAGCAACTTTTGTTACAAATGAAGATTTACATAGATCATTCTTTTAGTCACAAAAGTGGAAGGGAGAATTTGTGAGACGAATAAAAAATGTATATACTTATCTTTCTCCTTCTAAATTTCCACCTGTCAAGATTTTCTATGTGTGGGACAGAGTTGCAAGGAAGACACAAATAATCCCACTCCTGTTTCAGAACTCCACTGTGCACCAATTTTTATTTTCCCTCCCCTACAGATCATAATCTAAGTTGCTAAGTGAGTGAAAAATAGTGGAATAAGCTTTGATCACAGGGCTGGCTCCTACCTTTCCTTTAAAAACTGTCTGAGCATTTCATCCTTCATCTTGTGCCTTTCTTGGGATAAGAATGGTGAGTTAGAAGAATACTGACTCTCAGGAAGTCTCTGAGTAGCTGGGGAATTGTGACATTCAGCCACTCTAGGGAACCTTATCCTTAGAATACTGATACATACTATTGATTTGGGAAGGTGAGATATGAAGATGAATTCATCTTCACTGATATTTAATTATACTTTGAATATAAGTTTTTCTAATCCATTGACACACATCCCTTTCAGTCACACTGACACTTATTTCATAATCTGATTGAGAAACTCGGTGTTAAATATGACAATGAATTTTATTTTCTTTGTCTGTAAATGTCAGAAAAATATATCAACAAGTTTCCTTAACCTACACAATTCTATGTGCTTCCTTTCACTGAAATAATTTATTTTGCCCTTGGGCCTGAAAACTTTAACATTATCCCACTGATTTCATTATCCATTATTTGTAACCACCTGGATTATGCATATTTGTAATATTTTTATTTGGCTCGTGGAGTTAATGGGGTTAATCTTTAAAATTATAGAAATATATGGATTATTTTTCGAGTGTTTATGAACATTTAAAAACTGTCCTCTTCAAATACTAAAATATTTAATTTATTCTACTCTCTTGCTATTTTTTTTACTTTCTTGTTTAGTTTTTAGTGCTGGGTTATTTTGTCATTAACTTTTATACATTCCCATAGTATTGTATATACATTTTCCAGAAATACTGTATAAAATGTCTTTTACTGATTATATAAGTACTACATATCTATTGTAAATACTTTGGAAAATTCAGAAAAATTACACAAAAAAGAAAGAAATCCCTAGTATAATGTTATCAGGGAAATACAACATTTAGTTTTTGTCAATGTAAAAATTTTGTTTATTTAGCTTATTAGCATAGATGTATAACCAATAAGGAAGTTCGTTTCAACAGTTATTATTACTGACATACTGTGTACCTTGCACAGTGTTATGCACTGTGAAAATAAAAGCAAGGTGTCAGACTCACAGACTAGTTAACAGAGATAAGACAAAGAGATATAGGACAATAGAATAATTAAGCACCAGTGTAATTGGATCATATAAATGAAGGATAAATGCTTTTATAATAACTTCCAATTAAATTTATGTAATTTACGATTATCTTAATGAGCTTTACCAAAAGCACTATTTAATTATGGTTGCTTTTAAGAACAGTGCAACATAGACAGACAGTCTCTGTAGGTTCAACAGCAATTTCTTGTCAACAGAAACAGCTGTACTCAGTGAAATTTCAAGAGACATTTTCTAAGTTAATCAGCTTGGGGGCTATGAAGAAGTAAAACTAGGTGTTTTCTTTCATTTCTTCTAGTCCTCTTAATCATCATAGTTACAGTAGTTACAGGACCCTAGAGTTAGAAGAAATGTCCATAATTATTCTAAATCCTCTACTTTAGAAATGAGACAGTGGAGGCCCAGAAATGCTACCTTATCCCATCTTATCCTTTCAGAAAAAATGGTCTAGTAATACAACTGTTACCTTTGAGATTGTGAATTCCATAAGGACAGGTACTCTTCTGGCTTTTTCTTTGTATGTTATTGGTCAAAATTGTACCTCGTTTAAGTTCTTACTAAATTGAATGAATGTAATCACATCTCTGTAAGACTATATTCATTCATTTAATTTTATAATATTTTCTCATGTATTTACCTATGCATTAACTTATTTGTCATGCACTTTTAGATAACCTACTCATTGTTAAGTACCCTATTCTTCCTAGAAGTGCAAGAATAAAATATATGTTCTTGGCTTTTGTATAACACAGAGTTTAAGGTAGGTATCAGATTTGCAAGTAAGGTTTTGGTGTAATAAAGTTTGTAAATTCCATGCCTCCATCCAGGGTCTAAGTATTATTATTAACATGTCTCTTTGATATACATTAATCTTGGGAGCATCTGTTGTTGTCTCGTATTATTCTTCCCAAGTTAAAAATATCTTATACAAACTATTGTAGTTAACCCAGTACCTCTTGCTGGCAATGCAGATACTCTATAAAAGTGGAAAGCCTTCCCCACCTCCACCTTTTCCAAGTATATTTCCTAATATTCAGGCTTTGTGTCATCTTCCTCATTATAGTTGAAGATGTGATACTCTTATGTCCAACTGTCTTCTTTGACATTAAGGATGAGGAGCGCAAAGAGAGGAATTGTCTTTTTTCAGGCCTGTGGGCTTCCCAGGAGGGTTCAGCATTACAAATGGACTTCCATAGTGTGCCTGTATCCCTAAATGTCTCAGTAATCAACAGATCACCCTCAAAATATGTGGGACAGCTTCCATTCAAGAGTACAGAGATTTTGGTCAGGCATAGTGGCTTGCACCTGTAATCCCAGCACTTTTGGAGGTTAAGGAGGGCGTATTGCCTGAGGCCAGGATTTCAAGACCAGCCTGGGCAACATGGCAAAACTCTGTCTCTACAAAAAACAAACAAACAAAAAACAATTAGCCAGGCTTGGTGGCACTTGCCTGTAGTCCTAGCTACTCAGGAGGCTGAGGTCAGAGAATTGCTTGAGTCCAGGAGGCAGAGGTTGTAGTGAGCCGAGATGGCACCACTGCACTCCAGCCTGGGTGACAGAAGGAGACCCTGTCTCAAAAAAAAAAAAAAAAAAAAAAAAAAAAAAAAAAAGTACAGAGATTTTAGTTGTTCTTTCTCAAAGCTCCCAATTTTTCTTTTTCACTCATTTGTCTCTATATTTTATTTATTTATTTTTCACTAGAAAAAATTACTTCTGAGATTTCTGACAAACTAAAGACACTACACATGATGCCTCCCCCATTCTTTTGACTGTGTTTTCGTTGTTTGCTGACTTAAGTATGTTGAAAGTCTTTCAATTTTATGTGACCAAAATGCTGGATGAAACACAGAGTGAAAATCCATTTTGTCCTATGGTCCTGGATAGGAGGCCATCCTTGGTCACCATGGGCAATAGTCAGGCCTGGAGTTATCTTGAGAGAAGCATCCTAATGATCTGCAACAGCTGTGGCCCCTGCTTACTCACAAAGCTTTCCTCCTATGGATAAAAGACAAGGATCAAGAGTACCAAAATATTTCAACAATCTAGCTAACCCTCTTCCTAGTCAATGATCTTAAGCCCTCCAAGAGATTACAGGACCCTTAGAGAATAGAATATGAGACCTCAAGAAGCAAGTTTAGAAGGGAAACTAATACTTTCAGAATGTTGTTCTGTGATCTAATTCTCAGAATCCACTAATGCTATGCCTTGCCTAAAACTATTTCTGCCTTATTGCTTTCTACTCTTTTCCTTTTTTCTGAAAGCAGTATTTTTATATAGCAGCCATACTAGAAAAGATATTCACCAAAATGAGATATGGATGTCTGATTACGGTATACTTCTATTAGTATTTTATTTTTTAGAACTAAATCATCTATTAAAATAATGCTCATTTTAGAGAATTCTTAGGAAATATTATTTACTCTCATCATCCAGATGCAGACATGCATGGTCTGGAATATTTTTATAAGAGTTACACAAAAATGACTGTCATATTTAAATACTCATCTGGCTGTCCCTCCTGAGTTTATACTGTGTATCTTTAGAAATTAACAATTTGCAGATATATTTAACTAAATACAGAAGCAGAATCAATTCTCCATATTTGTTGACTGACAGAATGGTGGAACAATAGCGGCATTACCCCAACAGTTATGATTAGCAGAGCCCTTTACCTTCTGATTCCATAAAAGCACACAGAACATGTTAATGTAGATATAATGCAGTCCTCAAAGGATTAACATTCCATTTCGCAAAAGATATTTTCCAGAATCTCGGAAGTAGGTGACATCTTTTTAACTTTTTAAAAACTTTTATTTTAGTTTCAGGAGTACATGTGGAGTTTGTTTCTATAGGTAAATGGCATGTTACAGGGGTTCGGTGTACATACTATTTCATTACTCAGTTAATAAGCAAAGTACTCAAAAAGTAGTTTTTCGGTCCTCGCTTTCCACCCACCGTCCACCCTCGAGTAGCCCCAGTGTCTGTTGTTCGCCTCTTCGTGTCCATGTGTATTCAGTGTTTAGCTCCCACTTAAAAGTTTTAGTTCTCTGTTCCTGCACTAGTTCTGTTTGGATAACAGCCTCCACCTTCATCCATGTTGTTGCAAAGGACACGATCTTGTTCCTTTTATGGCGGCGTAATATTCCGTTGCCTATATGTACCACATTTTCTTTATCTGGGCTACTGTTGATGTGCATTTAGATTGATTCCATGTCTTTGCTATTGTGAATAGTGCTGTAGTGAACATACACGTGCATGTGTCTTTATGGTAGAATGGTTTATATTCCTTTTATTATGTACCCAATAACGCGACTGGTGGATCAAATGGTAGTTCTGTTTCAGGTTCTTTGAGAAGTCACCAAACTGCTTTCCATAGTCGCTGAAATAATTTGCATTCTGATCAACAATATGTACCAGTTCCCTTTTTTTTCCATAGCCTTGCCAGCATTTGTTATTTTTGGACTTTAATAATTGCCATTCTGAGTGGTGTGAGATGGTATTTCATTATGATTTTGATTTGTGTTTCTCTAATGATTACTGATTATAAGAATTTTTGCATATGCTTGGACATATATATGTCTTCTTTTGTAAAGCGTTCATCTCCTTTGCCCACCTTTTAATGGGGTTGTTTTTTGGTATGTTAATTTGTTTAAGTTTCTTACAGATTCAAGATACTAAACCTTTGTTGGATGCATAGTTTGCAAATATTTTCTCCCATTCTACAGGTTGTCTGTTTACTCTGTTGATAGTTTCTTTTGCTGTGCAGAAGCTGTCAGTTTAATTAGATCCCATTTGTCAATTTTTATTTCTGTTGCAATTGCTTTGGTGTCTTTGTCATAAAATCTTTCCCATAACCCATGGGAAATACCACCCATAGCCCATAGGGTGGTATTTCCTAGGTTTTCCTCAAGAGTTTTTATAGTTTTAGGTTTTACATTTAAGTCTTTAATCCATCTTGAGTCGAGTTTTTTACATGGTGCAAGGAAGGGATTCAGTTTCAATCATCTGCATATGGCTAGCCCGTTTTCCCACTACCATTTTCTGAGTAGGGAGCCCTTTTTCCACTGCTTGTTTTTGTTAACTCTGTCGAAGACCAGATGGTTGTAGGTATGCAGCCATATTTCTGAGCTCTCTATTCTCATTGGTCTGTGTATCTGTATTTGTACCAGTTCCATGCTGTTTTGGTCACTGAAGCCTTGTAGTATAATTTGAAGTCGGGTAATGTGATACTTTCAGATTTGTTCTTTGCTTAGGATTGCTTTATCTATTTGGTCTCTTTTTTGGTTCTATATGAATTTTAGAATTATTTTTTCTAATTCCATGAAAAAATGTCATTGGTAATTTCATAGGAATAGCACTAAATTTGCTTTGGGCAGTATGGCCGTTTTAACCATATTGATTTTTGCTATTCATGAGCATGGAATGTTTTTCCATTTGTTTGTGTCATCTCTGATTTCTTTCAGAACTGTTTTGTAATTGTTGTATAGAGATATTTCGCTTCCCTGATTATCTGCATTCCTAGATATTTTATCTTGTTTTGTGGCTATTGTGAACAGGATTGCGTTCTCAATTTAGCACTCAGCTGGGACATTAATGGTTTATAGAAATGCTACTGATTTTGTAGATTGATTTTGTTTCCAGAAACTTTGCTGAAGTTGTTTATCAGATATAGGAACTTTGGGGCAGACACTGTGGGGCTTTCTAGGTGTAAAATCATATCATCTGCAAACTGGGAGAGCTTGACTTCCTTTCTTCCTATTTGGATGCCTTTATTTGTTTCTCTTGCCTGAATGCTCTGGCTAAGACTTCCAATCCTATGTTGAATAAGAGTGGTGAGAGAGAGCATCCTTGCCTTATTCTGGTTCTCAAGGGGAATGCTTCCAGCTTTTGACTATTCAGTATGATGTTGGCTATGGATTTGTCACAGATGGATCTTATTATTTTGAGGTATGTTCCTTCAATGCCAAGTCTGTTGAGTTTTTTAACATGAAGGGATGCTCAATGCTATCAAAAGGCTTTTCTGCATTTACTGCAGTGATTATGTGGTTTTTGTTTTTAGTTATGGTTATGTGATCAATTATAATTATTGATTTGTGTATGTTCACTCAAACTTGCATCCTAGTGATAAGGCCTATTTGATCATGGTGGATTAGCTTTTTGATGTGCTGCTGGATTCAGCTTTCTTGTGTTTTGTTGAGAATTTTGGCATGTATGTTAATCAAGGTTATTGACCTGAAGTTTTCTTTTTTTGTTATCTTTGCCAGGTTTTTGTATCAGGATGATGCTGGTCTCATAGAATGAGTAGGGAGGAATCCCTCCTCCTAAGTTTTTTGGAATAGTTTCAGTAGTAATGGTCCCAGCTATTCTTTATATATCTCATAGAATTTGGCTTAGAATTTGTCTGGACCTGGGCTGCTTCTGGTTGGTAGGCTTTTTATTACTGACTCAATTTTGAAATTTTGTATTGGTTAGTACAGGGTTTGAATTTATTCCTGGTTCAGTCTAGGGACCTTGCATATTTCCAGGAATTTATGCATTCTTCTTGGTTTTCTAGTTTGGGTGCACAGACATTTTTGTAGCTGTCTCTGATTCTTTTTTGTATTTATGCAGGGTCAGTGGTGATGTCCCCTTTGTTATCTCTGGTTGTGTTTATTTGGATCTTCTCTCCTTTTTTTATTATTCTAGTGGTTGAGCTATCCTATTTATTCTTTCAAAAAAAACAATTTGTGATTTTGTTAGTCTTTTGTATGGTTTTTCACGTCTCAGTTTCATTCAGTTCAGCTCTGATTTTGGTTATTTCCTGCCTTTTGCTAGCTTGGGGTTGGTTTACTCTTTTCTCAACTTGATCTGGTCTGCTGTTAATACCTTCAGTTGTATTATGAAATACTTGGAGTACGTTTTTCAGCTCAATTAAGATCAGTTTGGTTCTTCCTTAAAATGGCCATTTTGTCTTTCAGCTCCGGTATCATTTTATTGTAAACCTTGGATTCCTTGGAGTGGGTTTCAACTTTCTCCTGAATCTTGATGATCTTCATTCCTATTCATATTCTGAATTCTGTGTCTGTCACTTCAGCCATTTCAACCTGGTTAAGAGCGATTTATGGGGAGCTAGTCATTTGGAAGAGAGAAGACGCTCTGGCTTTTTGAGTTGCCAGAGTTTCTGTGCTGGTTCTTCCTCATCTGTGTGGTCTGGTGTTCCTTTAACTGTGGTGTAATTTGAGTAAAGTCAGTTGACTTCCTTTCTGGTTGTTTTCAGAGGGCTGAGGCTTTGCGCTGCATCTTGATTTGTGGTTGAATTCTTGTCCTTGTTTTCTTGGGAGCAGTGTTTGTCAGCAGAGTATTTTTGGTGTGGCAGTTTGGGCTGTTGTCCAATAGATGGGGGATAAGCATAATGGATGGTAGGTAGGCACTCGTTCAGCCACGTGGCTTCTCTGTGTTTCCTAGGGTTTGCAGTCAAACTGCCTCTCAGTTTTCTGAGTGTGGACTCCTCTCTCACTCAAATGCTGGCTGCAGATCTTGGATTGGCACTCTCAGGCTGCACACCATACCGCAGCTCTGGGGTGAGCTCAGGCTTTATGTTCCCTCCCCAGCTTGGGGGCAGCAAGGACAGGGATCTCAGCAGTGGCAGTGGCAGAGGACCTTTCACTTGTCCCTGGAGATTCCGCCCCAGAGAAACACAGAGCCGCTACCAGTTGGAGCCATCAGCCCAGGCTGGGGCGGCTGTGTTGTGGGCCCAAGCCAGGGCGCCCTGCTTAGTGATGAGTAGGGGTGTGGGGTGCTTATGGGGAAGACAGACTGGCTTCTTCTCCTTAGGGCGGCTGAGGCTTGCTCGAGGTGTGAGTAAAGCATCAGGGTCTTTGTACCTTCCCCACTCCAAGGGCAAGAGGGGCAGAGTCATTGCAGTAGCGGTGGCAGAGTGGCTTTCATTTGCCTCTGAGAGCTCCACCCCAGAGAAACGTGCAGAGCCGCTGTCAATGGGATGTTCAGTCAGGGCGGCTGCAGCGTCCGCCCAAGCTGAAGGCCCTACTTGGGGGTTGGGGGCTCACATGGAAGAGAGACTGAGTTCCCTGGCGTGCTGGTGGTTCAAGTGAAGCCCTCCTGCTCTTTGTTCCTTCCCCAGTCCCAGGACAGCAAGGGCAGAACGGCTGCAGTGGTGGTGGCAGAGGGGCTGTCATTGCCTCTGGGAACTCCATCCACCCCAGGGAAACACAGAGACACTACCAGTGGGAATGCTTAGTCGGGAATGGGGCAGCTGGTCTTCCATCCCGAGGGGCTGGGGGATCCTCTCCTTACGGTGGCTTCAGTGTGCCGGGGATGTCAGCAATGCAACCTGGCTCGTTTTCCTTTTCCAGCCTGCCTGCGGTAAGGGTGGGCCTGCTGCGGCTGCAATGGGAGAGGGGCTGTGGGTTGTCTCTGCTATTCTCCCCGCCCCCTCCCCAGAGAAAAGCAGAGCCTCCACTGACTAAAGTGATCAGGCCGGGGAAGGGGGGTTGTGCTGGGAGCCCAGGTCAGGAGGCCCCGTGCAGTGAGGAGTAACGGGGGCAGGGACCCGCGTGGAAAACTGGCCGCCTTTTCCTAAGACAGCCTTGCGGTGCTGGGGGCCGGCGTTAGTCCTTAATCACTTCGCTCCAGCTGAGCCTGAGAGAAGCAGGAGCGGGACTGTGGAGCAGCAAAACCTGCAGGCCAGCCTGTGCTCTCTGGGATCACTGTCTCAGGCAAGGGCAGGGCTACCACTGGCCTGAGAGTACAGGCGGCACTGCGGTGGTCACGCCAGGCTCCCAGGCCAGTCGGCCTTGTCCATCCAGGTGCAGTGGAGGCGAGGCCTGCGGCCTGTCGCTGCTCAGCCCTAGGGATTCAGCCCCTTTCCTAGGGACGTGTGAGGGAGCCTGGCCTCCACTGTTGCTGGAGCTGCAGCCCCTGGTTGCTACCAGAGTTCCCAGGGGTCCAAGATCCCCGGACTCTGCGTGTGTCTGAACAGCAGCTCTGCCCGGACTCCTCGTAGCTCTCCGTGTCAATCAGGAGGCCCTGGCTGTGCCACGGGGTTCATGGTGCATCTCCTGAGCCCAGGGTTCAGAGGTCTGGAAGAAGTGTGGGACCCCGAGGGCTCTCCCTTACTCACCGTTTCCCGGCAGTGGGGAGCCTCCCCCTGAGTCTGTGCCAGTCCTGAGGAGGTGGCTGTCCTGTCTTGCTCTTCTCTGTTCTTTGTGGATTGTGTTGCTTCCTTGATTAACCCCAGTGTGTACGCCTGGCCCATCCAGTTGAGGAGCTAGTGCTCACTTGTTCCTCTTTCTCTTTTCCATGAGCGCAGTGCACACTGGCTGCTTGTACTCAGCCATCTGGGGCCCCAATCTCAGTATTTTCATTTCATTAGACTACCTAGGAAAGAAATGAGTAAAGTAGTTTTAGCCATTGGACACTCACTATGGTAGATTTTGCAGGCAGAACAACCTTCTTGATGGTTCCACATATGGCGAGCACAGACATTAGAAGCCCTTATCACATTTTCTCACTATTGATAGACTCACACCTTTACTGGCACTGTATTCTTTTATTAGTTGACATTGATCAGTTATTCCAGAAAATATGTTCAATGTTGTATTAACTGACCTTTGTTGACTCCATGTGTCTATGGAACTTTATATATATTTCATAATATCTGACTTTAGAACTTGACGTATTAACCAACTATTGAATCTGGATTGTATAAGTCATTTTGTATAACATAGCCTTTGAAATATACACAACCAGGGTCAAGGCTCTTGTGTTCCTTGTCTCCTCTCTGTCTTTGTCTTTATACCTGTGGACCAAAAATTGCATGGACCTGGTATCCTGGATCCTATTGATTATGCTGATTACATCGACTAGTCTTTTAATCATTTATACTTCTTAATTGCTTCTGCATCTGGCAGAAAACATTAGAAGCAGGCATTAATATTTTGTTATACAAGTCACAGGAGGAATTTAGTAGAAATTCTTTGACTCTGTGTTTGTGATAGAAGTGAGTAAAGGTAATACTTTTTTTTTTTTAAAATGTGTCTCCAAATGCCAACATCTGCTCAGGAAGAAAAAAAGGACATTTGTCCCAATGTTTGCATTATTTCCTATATATAGAACTCTTTGGATGATTTTTAATTTAATAACTATTTTTGAAAAGACTTAATGCATTTAACATCTAAATAAAGAAAAACATAATTTATATAACTAAACAAAGTTAGTGCTGTATGCGTAAATGCTAACAGATTGTTCACCTATAAGTACCTACAGCCTTCCTAATTTAAGCGTGGGGCTACATTCTGGATTCACACATTTTTTGCCCAAAGGTAAATTATTGTTAAAAGGTAAAGAGAATATCTATTCAGCTGTTTTTGGGTGAGGATATGACGTATTTTAGCTATACAAGTAGTGTAAATTTTAGTGTGTACATTTTTACTTTAGATGAATTTAGAAATTGAAGCCTGACCTATACAGATTACTTAAGTTAAAAATGGTTTGCCAAATTTAAACATAGTAATCTGAAGCATGATAGATTAAATGTAAAATTCAATATCTGAAATATATTTCCCTCGCTTTTTAATAAAAAGGTATCACCTTGGGGAAAAATATGTCTTTTCAAATCAAAGTTTAGATTATACATTGTAATACAAAATTTTACCTTAAAAGAAATACAATTCTTAAGTTCTAAAATGAAAAAAGTAAGCAGTGAAACAACACTTACATGTGTTAGTATCCCTGTTATTTCAGGAAGCAAAGTAAAAGAGGGTGTGAACATTTCTACACATCAACATTCACAAAAGTATCTTTGTAATGTAGTGAGTATAAGAATGGCTTGATAGGACTTCAGAACAATGTAAATCTCTGTGATTTCTCCTGGGGATTCTGACTCCTTAGTATGCAGTAGGGCCCAACAATCTGTATTTTAAATAAACAAATCATATAATACAGAGACAACTTCGAGACTCACTGATATGGGAATGATTTTTTATTTTTCCATGTATGTGAGCTTTAATTTTAAAATCAAATATATGTCTAAGTATTGATATGATTTATTTTAGAAATTGATTTCTCTTAATTACACGAAAGGAAGTTTTGTTGTTGTTTTGTTTTGCTTTTTGATGAGTCATGATAGTTATTTGGAAATAATTCCCAATGTTATAAAGAAAAACACATATTTTTCAAGTGACTGCTATTTGTTTGCTACTTTGCTAAGCTACGGCAACCAAAATGTTAAAAATCCCTGCTTTCTGAGGGTGTTTAATCTGGCTAGGTAATTAAAGCATCTAGATCAAAATGTTAAAGAGTCTAAAAGATTATAAGATGGTATATTCTAAGACTCTCAAGACCCCACTGGTAAATAGAGACCATTAAATTAGGAATCAGAAAACATGACTTTGGTTACTCTCTGTGCCTCTTAACAGTTCTCCGCTGTGTGTAAGTCTTTTAACATTTGCACTGAATCTACCTTGTATCCATTACAATTAGTATGAAAATACTCCACTTTTACAAATCACTAGCTTATGGTGGGATATGTGTGCAATAATCTGTATAAAATATCATGTTATAAATAATTTAGTAAATATATGATATTATGATTATTAAGGGTTTTAGGAGTTAAAGGCTAAAATATATTAAAATGCTAAGGTAATAGAAGAATGTATCGGAAAATTAGTGCAAAGAAAAGATTCGAACGACTAGAAAAATGGTGAGCACAGCTGGTTATGAAAAAGTGTAACTCTGAGATACTTTTGTGAAAATTCTCAAAATTATTTGTAATATTAAAGCAGAATTAGAGAGATCTTCCACACACTATAATTTAAGGCATTATTTTAATAGTCTATATGTTCTTTTTATTGTCAGGGTTATTCATTACCTATATATTTATATATAAAACCTAATTGTAAATTAATAGCAATGAAATGTTATACATGCATAAGGGAATGAATTATGGTTACTAAGGGAAACCTTAATTTAAATTTTCTTGTTTCATTATATGAAAATCTCAACTCTAACAATTTATTCATATAAAATTTTATTTTAAATTCACACACATTAATTATATTGAATTAAATTGTAGAGATCATTACCTAGTCTTATTTCTGCTAATGTTTCTCCTTACTGCTTATAAAGAATTCTGCATCTAAAATTCAGTATATTAATTAACCAATGCTTATCAAATAGATCTACAAGTAAAGCACCGCATTAAAAGCTTTATGCAAGGAAGCAAAAATAAGGTAAAGCCCTAATGTTTAAGGAGCATAAAATCTAGTTGTAGAGATAAAATATGCACGGCAAGATTTGTATGGCAGTAGAATCACTGTGTAACTAATATTAGCAAAGTTGACCAGATAAAAGTTACAGCAGTTCAAAAGTGAAACATGTCTTATAAACTGGACTACCCTGAAAAAGTGGAAGGCTTGACTCACAGGTTCAAGATAGGCTTTATATTGGCAGGGAGGGCATTTCAACATGGTGCATTGGTATGTGCAAAATAGAGTGATAGCAATATTGGAGTAAATAGCACAGGGATTCTTCTCAACTGGGCATCAGAGCCTATGGCTTAATGAAGAAATGAACTCCTTTTCTGTGTTAGTCGTTCTTCAAATATGGGGCAATCTCTGTGCTTCTGGTCTTTGCACTGGTTCTCTAGTCCCCCTACCTGTGTCCCTGTAATTATTTGCTGACTCACTTTGTTTTTTTCGATGTTGTTGTTGTTGTTGTTTTTGCTGCAAATGACAAGATTTCATTCTCTATTATGTCTAACTAATATTTAACAGTGTGTATATACCACATTTTAAAAATTTATGTATCCATTGATGGGCGCTTAGGTGAATCTCTGTTGTCTTTTGTGCCATCCCTTTAGGATCTACCAGTCTGTCTTCATTTTTACTTATTTGCTGGCAGATGACAAGAATTGATTCCCCAGATCAAATTTCAGAAATCTCCCAACAAGAAAATATCATGTTAACGGTTTGATGTAGTACCTCACACACACACACGTATCTATATGCACACACCACAAATATCATTGTTAACAGTTTGATGTAGTACCATACACACATCTATATGCACATACCACTTTTTTAAATAATAAAATTCGGTTGTTACTTTTAACAATTTTTTTTCCACATAATAAGCTTCCTCCTGGCATGTTTATTCTTTGCTTGTGAATGAGGCTTCTCAAACTTTGGTTTCCTAATCTGCAAAATGGGGCCAGTAATAGCTCACAAGTTTGTTTTAAGAATTGAATTGAATGAGATGACACTTGGAAAAAGCTTCAAGCACAGTCTCTGGGCCTCAGTACCTTCGCATGAGTTATTATGTCTCTAAATTTCCAATTGCTGAGCTCTGACCTATATGGATATGTTCCATGTCTTCCTCTTAGATTCTTTTTGCAAGACATTTGCCTGAGGAATGACTAGAAGTTGCCAAACCCATTTGTTCACTGATTCATACTCTCACGTAACCTCAGGCTGTCATTTTCAGATCATACACACCCACATACCACATCTCTATTCATTCATTTATTATAGGAACAGGGTTTTGCTATGTTGCACAGGCTGATCTCAAAATCCTGGTCTCAAGCCATCCTCCCTCCTTGGCCTCCCAAATTTCTGGTGTTACAGGTGTGAGCCACTATGTCTGGCCCACATCTCTCTTTCTGAATAAAAAATTCCAATTTTTTGAATATGTTTTCTAAGACACGGTAACATCATGGGTATTGTGAGCATGGACATTGAAGTGAATTGAAAGATGAAGTCATAATTTAAAATTCAGAACTGGGCAATGACACATATGGAAAAAAAGACATTCCAAGGAGGGCTTGTTTTTTGGGAAGTAGGAAATATGCGTAATGGAAATATAAGGTTGGTTCTAGATATATTTTACTTGCTATTCCATCAGGCCATCACAGTGGAAACATTAAGAAGACATGTGAAAATAAACCCAGAGCTCAGAGAAGAGGACTGCAGAAGGCATGTCTGTAATTTAGGAATTACTTACACACATTCCATGGGACAAATCATGATAATGTATGAATTCTCAAAATTTGATATGAAAAACATGATACATCCTTGGATATTTCCATAGTCAGTTGTAAGTAATCTTGAATTTGTGTCTGTTTTTACACTTGCTGCACAGTTTGGATATAGTACTCACTTTCCTCATTGAGGACTTGGGAAAAATCTAAGACTGTCCTCCTCTTTCAAGGAAAAATAGTATAGAACGTGACTGAACCAGGCACTGAGGCATGAGTCACAGAAGGCCTATGGAATATAAAGGATTAATATTCAATGAGTACTTACCATGTGCTATACACCCCTCTATTATTTCCAATGTACTTGCTCATTTAATCCTAACGAAAATTGTGTGAGTCATGCTGTCATTAGCGTCATTTTACAGATGAGGATGCCGGAGCACAGGGAACTTCATACACATTCCAGGGTCCCTACGGTGAGTGGCATGAGATCCTGGCCGGCCTGACTCCAAATCTGAGCTCTGAACCCTTACTGACTCTAAAACAGTAAAACTACATGTGAAATGTCTGTGTTAGGAAAATGGAGAAGGAAATCAACAATCAAAGTAAAATCAGTGTCCTGGGCAGTACATTGCCTTAGAAGAATAAAAGAACATTTCCACTGATATGGTCCTTAGGGTAATGATTTTGTATCCCAGGGAGAACATTAGGCAAAAAAGCAAAATTAGGAATGTTAAGAGCAGTTTGCATTCTAGATATCAGTGAAGCTGCCTAAGGAAAGACGATTCGTTTTTCACAGAGTATCTTTGTACTTTGAGTCAAATGAAATAATTGACCACAGGGTTTAAAAAAAACTATAGCAGTAGTTTAATGATATTTTAATGATAATAATAAATATACTAAGATATATTAAACACTGAATAATGTAGGCAGTTTATCAGCTGGTTATACATACTGCATGTTTCTTAACCATACATTGCATACCTTAAGGGTAACAAACCTGTCTTAGGCTTTTCTTTGATTTTGATAATGTCAGACATATTGCTCATTCTATAGTGGATGCTCACTGACTTTGTTAATTGATTGACTATTTGGATAACATAGTTCTTTTACTATTTTTAAAGACTCTGTGAATGGAATATAATTTTATTTTGCTTACAAATACTTTGTAGTACAAATATTTTGTATCTAATACAATGCTGCAAATATTAAGAAAGTCTTTCTATGATTCTTTGAGTTATTCATTCATTCATTTATTCTTCCATTCATTCAACATATACTACATGCACCAAATCTCATCTTCTGTCACCTATGCAAGGAGATCAGCGTGCAACTCTCTGCTGTCATTGTTTCATTTTCTTCTCTGCTCTGTTATGTCTTTCTCACCAGCTGTTATTTCTTACATACATAACAAGTATTTTCTTAGCCCCACTTTCCCCTCCAGTTACTGCCCCATATCTTCATTCCTCTTTTCAGCAGAACGCCTTGCCTGAGTTCTCTTAGCCATGATCATCCATTACCTTGCTGTCAGTTTCTATTTGGTGCACGTCAATCAGATTTTGCCACACCGATCTCTACAAATTGCGAATGTAAAGAAGCACTAACAACTGCAACACTGCCAAGTCTAAATGTCACTTCTTGGTCCACATCTTAATTGCCCCATCTGGAGCATTTGACCTGGTTGTTTCATCCTATCTCACTGGTCATTCCTGCTAGGTCTCCTTAAAAGATTTTCCGCTTCTGACATGTGGATGTTGGAGCGCACCAGGGCTCCATCCTTGGAACTCATGACACTGGAAATCTAACCAGTCTCGTGAAAGAACTATCTCAACATTTCAAAAGAAAAGAACTGTTTTAGGTCCAACTAAAACTGAAAGTAGAAGCTCTTTTATAGGAGAAAAGATTCCTCACTTGATCTCAAAGAGAACTTTTGAAAAGAAGGAGGGTATAGAGAGTAGCCTGTCTGAGAGATGAGAAATTTGATAAAAGAGTGATCTCAGGAATCCACCCCATACATCAGCCTCAGTATGGAAATGAGCCTGAGCTGGCAGGAAAGGACAAGTGCAGCTTGGAAGGGAGAGTCTGCTCAAATAACTGTGTCTCTTCAGACTTAGATTTGTCAAATAAATCTTAGTATAGTTTCTAGGCTCATAAACTTGGCAAAACCAAACGTTCTACAAGTTTATATTTGTGTGTGTACGTGTGTGTGTGTGTGGAGAGAGAGAGAGATGTAATCTGTAGACATAGGCATGGTGAGGTAAATAAATTGACTATAGCACATAGAATAGTTATCACATGATGGGTATTTGATGAATTGGCTCATCTGTTCTATAAAACAGGGGTCCTCAACTCCCAGGCTGTGGACCTGTACCAGTCCTTGGCCTGTTAGGAACCAGGCTGCACAGCAGGAGGTGAGCGAGCATTACTGCCTGAGCTCTGCCTTCTGTCAGATCAGCATCAGCATTAGGTTCTCATAGGAGCACGAACACTATTGTGAACTGTGCATGTGAGGGATCTAGGTTGAGTGTTCCTATGAGACTCTAATGCCTGAAGATATGAGGTGGAACAGTTTCATCTCAAAATCATTGCCCGAACCACCACCACCACCCACCCCATCTGTGGAAAAATTGTTTTCCATGAAATCAGTCTCTGGTGCCAAAAAGATTGGGGACCAAAGCTATAAAATATGAATTCCACTCATTCTTATAATTTCTAAATTGAACTTTCCAGAATGCTCTGTTTAAGACAAACAACCCAAAAGCACTTTAAACTTCTACAGCTAAATGCAAGAATTATTATCCCTTTGAGCTACTCTAAACGTTAATCTCTACTAAACACTAATTCATAGTTTAATTACACCAGATAGACATTCTTTAAAACTTGACTACTTTGAGCTTAGTTTCAGAGTAATGTAGAGAATGCAATGGAAAGAATCATTTAACTGGAAAAAAAATTATTTTTATTTGGGAGCTGATAATGCTCCCTGTCTTTCTGCTTCTTCAGATGCTTTGGCAAAGTGTTCAAAATATATAGTATAACGTAACTAGCTTAATTTTATCAATTACCTTTATTAAACTAAATATAAAGACTTAGGTCTTCAAAAAGTGCATGGGTGGGAAAATCCACCTGCTCACACAACTGTGGATGGGGACTCTGCATCCCTGGGTGGGTCCCAAGTTGTTTTGTTTATTTTTTTTAAGAATGTTCATATTAATCCCTAATAGCAATTATATCATCATTACCATTCTCTCTTCTGTCTCTCACTTTCTCTTTCCCTCTTTCTCCATACTTTCTCCCTCCCTCTGTCCTTCTTCCACATCTGTTTCTTTTAAACATTACATCGATTCCCTCGCGAATCTGAACTTACATACTGAGAACTTCACAAAAAGAAAGGGAAAGTGAGAGTTCTCCCCAGATCTGGTAGAAAAATTCCAGGAACGACACAAATTGATCTGCTTAGGGGAGGAATACCCTGGCCTGAACACAGTGGCAAGGTATGTATGATGCCACCACAGTGGCCACAGTGGTGAAGCGCTGTGAATATAAGCTCTTACTGGAGCCTTGAGTTTGAGCAGGAATGAATATTTCTAGTCAACTTCATTCAACTCCCTAGTCCCTCAATTGCTTAATTTTTTTTTTTTTTTTTTTTTTTGTCTATCATGCCCACCGGAACCCTTCACACCCTTCACAGTGTGGGGTCCATATTTGATCGTCACAACTACATTTTGACCACAATCTATGATGCCATCAACATGGCATTGGTAACAACATCTACTTTTCACATTCTTACACCCAGACACAGGAATCCATCTGGAGAAAATCATGCAGTTATGCACTTGGGAACCATTACACCTTCATTGTCTCTAGTTTCAGCCAGACATTTGTCAATGCTCCCCAAGCTTCTCATTGTCATTTGTCAGCTCATGCACTCCCTCTGCCTACTGCTACCTCAAACCTTCCCCAGTCTTCTGAAATTCAGATCTCTTGGCCTTGGCAGATGATATTTTCCTTCATTTATTGAAAACATTTCAAGCATCTGGCATAGGGCTCCTACCTCACTTGACAGCCCTCTGTCCCCAATAATATTTACAAATATATGCCTGTCTGTGCTTTTCTTATCTATTTCCTTTTAGATTCAGAGGACAAAATCTCCTTCAAAGCCAAGTCAGTCACTCAAACTATTAACACATGCCTCATCTACTAACTCCAACTTAGCCCTGTCCATCCCCGTTTTTTCTGGTGTCATGAGCTGCTCCCTGTTCTAAGAACATTTTCTCCTCTAAACAATAACTCTGCAATATGTAAAAACAGAACTACCACTCCCTGGCAGGTACCTGCATATACTCACACACCTTACACACACATAAAGCTCCCCTTGGACCATGCTTCTCACTTTAGGGTCCCTGCTGGTTACTTTCATGGAATTTTTTGGAAAAGCAATTTTCATTCACTGTCTCTAACCCTTCAACCTGAATCCCTGCTCAACCTGTTACCTTCTGGCTTATACGCTTAGTCCACACAATTATTTTAGTAAGGTTTTAACCTATTTGTCAAATGCATGGGCAATTTCAGTTGTTTTGCTAGACTTCCTTTTAACGTTTATCTCTGTTAGCCAATCTTGTCTTCAAACCCCCGTTCCCATGGCTTCTGTGACACCACACTCTCCACTAGCACCTCTACCTATTCTTTTCTGTCTTTTTAAGACCTCTCATTTCTTTTGCCCTTAAAATATTATTGCTCTATATTTTTGTGATTCTATTACTGTCATATTGATCTTCTCAACCATCGTACTGTGTCTGAAATCAGACTGGTACTGTAATATCTTGGGTGTTTCCACATGGATGCCTTCCTCCATAGTCAATGGAATTTCCAAAATTGAACCTATCATCTTCTTTTTTTTTCTAAACTGATAACATCTTCTATTTTTCTCTTTTTCAGTTATGGTACTAATAGCTACATGAAATTCCTGGTAGTATTAATTATAGTACCTAGTTGACATTTATTGAGTTCATAGTAGTATGTGCCGAGCACTATGCTAGGTACTTTACATGAAATATCTCAACTAATCTTAACAGTCCTGTACAGCACACAGCACTCTACTACAATTATGTAGTTTTGGAACTAAGATTTAAGTGTGTTTAATAATTTGCCAAAAGTCACTTAGGAAGTGTGGAGGTGGGGTGCTCATTTTGGAGACATGCTGAACAACTATGGCAGACAATCTGAGCATCATCTTTGACTTCTCTCTCTCTCTCCATTCCAAATAGCACCACATCTTGTCATTTTACTCCCCATATATTATAGTTGCAACTATATCCTTAACCTTCTCTGAACTGTACTTCTCAAATATATCTTTCCAGCAGTTTCCAGTAATTAGATAATAAAATTTCCAAACACACAAATCTGGGGGCATTTCCACATGCTCAAGATATCTTGATGTTTCCATGGCTTATCAGATAAATCTCACCTTCCTAAATATAATTTTCATGGTCCTGTTGATTAAACCTTGGTACACATACATCTCCAGCCTCATTCTCCATGGCTTCTTTTGTCTGGATTTCCATTTTTCTTTAGTAATGCAGACTGCTTGTGGCTCCCCTTATAGGCCATTCTATCACTCAGTTCTGTGCCTTTGTTCTTGCTGTCATGTCTGCTTGGAAGACTTCATTCCAGCCTCTTCCCACTGAATGCAAATACCTGTCTCTGTCCCCTGCCGGTCAATTACTTGTTGAGTACTTTCTCGTTCTGATACCTCACTGCCTCTAGTAAGCCTTTTCTTGACTTCCAGAACAAAATAAAAGACTCTTTTCTTTATTTCATCACTAACATTTTCATATTTCCATTTTTAAAAACTTGCAGCTTTGTTTTATAATTATCTATTTCTATCTAGACAGGACCTCTTGAAGTCAGGCTCTACATTCTCTTTATATTCTTATTGCCAGGCACCAGAGCACCCTGTTTGCTAAGGGAATTTTTAAATTTATCTTCAAGTAATAAGTGAACTTTGAGTCAGATCTTGATTAATGTGTTTAGAAATAGGTGGAATAAAGAAGATGAAACATATTAGAGCTTATGCTTGACTATCGTTGGTATTATATTATTTGAATATTAGATCTAACTTTGCATTAATACTATATGTTTTTACACTGTGCATTTTATCATATCTTTTATGAACCACTCATATATTTAGAAGATGAAACAATGGATTAGGTATGGAAACAAAATTGTGTCATAAAATTAGTTAATTTTGTGATTAATTATAAAGTACTTTAAAAACAGCAATGGGTGGGATGGCGTCTGTGGTTGGCAATAGACATGCTGTGGATAATTTATTATTAAAGGCCTTTAAAATTTTAAAAACCCAATTAAAAAAAACTTATAATTGAAGAGTAGGGAATTCTTCTTTAAAAAGCAGCAATAAGATTAAGCCACATTATGCAACCTCTGGGCAAATGCTGATCTCATAATAATAAAGTATTTGCCTATTTTTTGTGTGAGTTAAATACCATTGAAACCGCTGAACTTGATAACACCTCAGGCTATCATCATGTTAGGTTTCTATATATAATAAAGAGTGGGAGACATATAGGGGGGAAACCGCAGAAATGAGAAAACAATTTAGAATGGTTTTTTAAAAAATTGTTTTTGTTTTTTTCCTGAGACCATTAACCTGTCAATGGCACTATCATATGAATTAGTTTATTCCTAACTAGATGATGTTCTTAGGACTAATTGTCACTCATTTCTAAGCCTGCCCAATTTTACACCCACATTAGATAGTACAGTCAAAGGCGCTTAGATCATATGAAATACACTTCCCAAAGAAATATATCCTCCAGCTTTTGCACACGGGCTTTCTTGTGAATTCCTGAATTAAATGATGATAGCTTCCAAATATCACCTTGTTCGTATCTCCTTTCTAAAATAACAACTAAAGATTGCTCTTCTATGTTAAAACTAACTGTTAAAATAGTTTTCTGCTGTGCAGTTATACAGAGATTGGGTAAAAAAAATTGGCTTAAGAAAAAAAGATGGGAAAGCAGAAGTATAGAGCAGTACAGGAAAATCATCACCCTTCAAATGACCATATGTGTTTTTATTTGAAGATAAAATATGTTTCTTGATATACAGATTTTACAGCCAAATTAATTAAATTCTGATATGTTATTCTGCATTTGAGTTTTTGTTATGATTTATCTACCATTATTCGTTATGACATTTAATAGATACTTTTAAATAGCTTTTCTCTGTTGACATTCTTGTTTGTTGATTACCTGGAGGAATATTTTATAATTTATATAATTTTTAAAATTGCAAAATTCTTAAAATTGGTAAAGTTGAACTGATTGGATGATTGTAAAATGTCTCTATGCATTTCTAATAGTTCTTTTGGCATTGTTAATAGTTTTATTTTGTCTGATGAACCTTACCAGTAAAAGAAAATGTTAAGGAAGATATTTCAAACTGCTTTGATTGGTGGGATAAAATATCCTGATGCAGTGGGAAGAAGAACTCTTTGAGGGAATAAACAGTTTGGAGGAGAATGTGCTGTTACTTCCAGAAAAAAACCTATTTTCCCTGGAAAAAAATAAAATCCATAGAAAGTGCCCTTGGAGGCATGGCAAATGAATGAAGACTTGGTTATGTTAAAGCAGCTTCATTCTGAGATGGAAAAAGTGACTCTTTCAATCTTAATTCTCTGGTTAGAGTCTAATAGAATTTTTGGTCTTGTCTCTGTGCCTATTCTGAGGCCCTTAGAGTCCTTAAAAGGTGAATGAATTAAAAAATATGAAGGATGTTTGTCCATTAAATGCCATAATGTCTCTATTATTTACCTATTTCTTTGTAACAATAGGAAACTTGTTGATGGTAGAAGTTGTTCAGCACTCATACACACATCGTTTTCTGCATTACTCTAATTGTTTACTTTGCAATTTAAATGCTAGCAGGGAACACCAAACATTTTGCTAAATTCCCCATTGCTGAAATGAAGTTTAATAGCCAAAAAATTGCTATTGTATGTATTGCTATTGTGTGTGTGTATATATATATATGTGTGTGTGCATGTGTGTGTATATACACATACATATACCTATATTTCCAAATTTGTTGTGTAAGTATATTTCTTCGACTAGCAAATTTCAGATTACAGGTACTAATGAGAGTCAGATCAAACAAATTTAAAATGTATTGGCAAAATTCATTTAAGCTTTTATAATAAAACTTAATTAAATCATGTTTTATTAATTTACTATTTGTAGTAATTTATTAGTGCTAAAATGAGGTTCACTTTTGTATAAGAAAAATAAATAATTTTACTAACATGATAGAATAGAAATACAAAACACATATTCAAAGAAAAAACGACAGAGCTAGATTCCATCCCCCCCCCAAAAAAAAAAAAAAACACATTTGAAGGCAAAAATCACATTGCAGGAATTAATTCACAATTTATAGACAAAAGTACTATGCTAATTAAAATGTATATATTAGATTTTACTTTACTAGGCAACATATTATGATTTATATTATTTCAAATGTTATTTTTAATGCCTTAATGTTATTTTCAATAATACTTATATTTATTTAAAATATTATATAATTTCATCTGTTTCTCTCAGATTAATCTCTCTCAGTTAGTAGAGAATTGACTAATGTTGTCTTTACTTCTCATCAAACTTTTATGAGATCTGAAAGAAATGATGCATGCGTTATTATTATTTTCACATTTTTGCTACCCTTTTTAATTTTGGAGATATAAGCAGAAAGAATTATCAAATAGACAACAAGATAAAGGGAAAATAATGATTTGAAGTATTATTGTAAAATCAATTCCAGAATAATTAGGTTCTGTTGCAGCTGATGCAAAATTTTACTGAAATCGTGTTCATATCTATCATCTAGGAAGTGCTAAATATCTGTAACCACTTGATTACTTTGAGGGAAATTAAATTTTCCATCAACATATCCCCTAATACTACTACTCCTGTCCAGATGATGAAAGGATCAACAGGAATCCTCAATACGTAGATCTTCATTTTATCTTCCTTGGAGCTCTTGTGGTTTAAAGGACCCCAACTTTTGCTACCCATTTTCTTTCTTATCCTTCCTCAGTCTCTGAGCTTGTTGTATTTGGCTACATACTGACCAAGTTATCTGCATGTCTCAAAGACATCTCAACAAAACCTGCATTTATGTATGCACTTATTTATTGTTAAAGTGCATCATCTTTCTGGAGACAAACTAACTTCCCCTCCAAACTTTCCTCTTGCTGTATTGAGTGAAGTTTGCTGCTGGTGGGAATGCCACAGGGATGCAAACAACACAAGAGTTCATAGCCCTGCCCCACTCACAGGAGTCTCGCTGTCCAGCCTTAGAGCTTTTCCAGATCTGTCTTCTAAGCCTAGGAGAATTCCTTGGAATTTCCAGTCTTAGTTCATGAAATAATCTCTGAACTGATTTCCCAGGTTCAAAGTTTGATCCCCTCTATCCCATATTTCATGATTCAAAAGCCATCGAAGTTTTAAATCAAAGATAAATTACACTCCCTCATTTTCTGTCCCTATGATTTAGCCCAATCTATTTATTTTATCATCCTTTCTTTCTTAAAACTGTTGCTGTCAAATCAACTCTATTACCATTTCACAAACACGCTAGGCTTTTAGTCACCATGTTATCTGATTCTGTTGCAGTGGTCTTATTCCTCTTCACTACCTGGACAATTCACCCAGCTTTTAACTCCCCCTGAAGTTCTACTTACTCTTCGACAACTTTGTGCCTTTGGTGATCATTTACCTTTATCTTTCCTGTGGTTTTACAACACATTAGGAGCCTCTTCCCCACTCCTTCCCACCATAGCCAGTCTTAGTGATTTGTCTGCATTCTGTTGCTTGCTCGGTTCAGATGGATAAAATCTTACTGATTTTCATTTCTGTGATGACAAACTGAAGACTTCCTATTAGGCCTCACAGGGGTCTTTTCTGCGTGACCTCCTCTTGCTGCAGTATCAGTATCTCCCAGCCGTACTCTGTACAGCCATATTCTAGTCAGGCTAAAATCTTAACAACCCCACAACGATTCTCGGTTTCTTCAAGCTCCTAGGAATTTGCATATGCTGATTCTTCCACCTGGAACACTCTTTTCTCACAACCCCAATATCCTCACCACCATCTAGTGTATACTTTAAATAGCCGAGACTTAGACTATGACTTCACTCATACAGCCCTTGCTTATCAGGCACACAGGGGCAGGGACATCTCCTGTACTCTCATAGTACCCTGTAATTGTCCTCTCTGAGTGCTCACCATTGTGATGTAACTGTTTTTTATCCCTCCTCTTAAATGTGTAGTGATAAGGGTATTATGTCAATCCTAACAACATTTTATTCCCAGCATGTTTTTTGAAACCACGGAAATTAAAGTGTAGGGTTTTTTTTTTCCCATATGTAGATTTCAAGTTTTCTGTGGACCTAAATCATGTCTTTTAATGATATTGTATTTCATAAACTTTCTAAAAATGTGCTGAGTAGATGTGCTGTTTACTTTCATGGAAGAATGTGGTAATAATTAAATATTTATTCTGAAATGCTTTTTTTACATTCATGGTATTTGAACAAAACATATTCTTATAATTCTAATGGATACATTTATTTGCAGTTAAAAATATCATTTAAGAATACAAAAAATAAAGCTTAAGAGAACAAATGTTCATGGTTTTCAACTTTAACATATGAAACATTTTGAGAAAAACACATTATTATCAACTGTATGTATGTACATCTATATGACATTTTTCATACTTTCCACAAAATTTTCATGAAGTATTTATATAGGCTTCTCTTTAATCTTACATTGTTTAGAAGCATGTCTGCATTTAGTTTAAAATTCATATCTTAAATGTCTTAGGACCTAAATAATGACTTAGCTTTTCAGAAAAATCTTAGATGGTATAGTGATCATTCAGCCTTTGTTAACCTGATTTTTAATTTAGGTTCTACTCCAAGTTAACCTTATGCCCTTGGAAAAGTTCATATGGCTTTCCTCACTTTCATTCTTGTCATTTGTAATATATGGGTAATAGGCTGTATTATTTTTAAAATCTTTTTCAACTTCTAAAGTCCATGATTATTTTATTCAAAAGCTAGGTATGAACTCACACATCAGATTTAAGTCTACACTTTAAATTTCCCCCCTTTTCTGTTTCCATTGTTGAAATTAGAACAGTCATAAAGCTCATCACTAAACTGAACACAAATTTATTTCTTAAGACAATTCAAAATACAAGGAGGCTCTGACTGCTATTTCACTGTAATTCAAATTATTTAGCTATTATAGATAATGGAAAGGTTGACATAAACTAGGCAAAGAGAAAAAATATGGTTGAAAGTCACATATTCCATGTCCTCTTTTGTAATATACGGGGATTTTGATTCAAGAAACAGAAATAAGGTACTTAATGTACACTTCGTGTTAAAGGAGTTTATTATGAAATATGTTGGATTTTAATAGGAGAATGCATTGTAGTAATACATCAGTTTAGCAAATATGTATGGACTTTAAATGGGTTCGAACATCCGTTTCTTTTCTATCTTGAAAATGTTTTGTTTGTCATGATTTAGATTTCTCTTCAGCACACGTTAATTGATATGTGCCATGCGAATATTACGTTGTCATAATTTAGATTTCTATTTGGCACACATTAATTGGGTGCATCATATGTGTGATGCAGCCACTGCCATGCACTGTGGGAAACATGCATAATTCAATGGTGCATAAACAGACATGGCTGTTGACAGAATGGTTGGAGGCCACAGGGTCACCAAAACAGGCTCTGTGTGCATGTCCAGCGTGTGCTCCAGGAAATAGTTTGTGGCCGAAGTGGCTCTTACACATTTGAAGTGGGTAAGATTTATGGAAGGATACTTTACCTCCTGATATGGTTTGGCTGTGTCCCCACCCAAATCTCAGCTTGAATTGGATCTCCTAGAATTCCCACGTGTTGTGAGAGGGACCCAGGGGGAGGTAAATGAATCATGTGGGCCGGTCTTTCCCATGCCATTCTCGTGGTAGTGAATAAGTCTCATGAGATCTGATGGGTTTATCGGGGTTTCTGCTTTTGCTTCGTCCTCATTTTTCTCTTGCCGCTGCCATGTAAGAAGTGGCTTTCACCTCCCACCATGATTCTGAGGCCTCCCCAGCCATGTGGAACTATAAGTCCAATTAAACTTCTTTTTGTTCCCAGTTTCAGGTATGTCTTTATCACCAGCATGAAAACGAACTAATTCACCTCCCTTCAGAAATATTTCAGCCCAAAATACTTTGAGGAAAGGCTAGACATAGTGGCTCACACCAGGCCAGGAGTTCAAGACTAGCCTGGGTAACACAGTGAGACCCTGTCTCTAGAAAATTAAATGAAAGAATTAGCCAGGTGTGGTGGTGGTGCATGTCTGTAGTCCCAGCTACACAGGAGACTGAAGTTGGAGGATTGTTTGAGCCCAGGAGGTTGAAGATACAGTGAGCTATGATCGCAACACTGCACTCCAGCCTAGGCAACAGAGTGAGACCTCATCTGTAAAAGAAAAAAGAAAAAAAAAAAAAACATAAGGTTTCTCCCATGCTACCTATCTGCCTTAGGAGACCTGGGTGAAATAATTTCATTTTTTAAACTCATCGTTGTCAACTACACCTAAAATCCAACTTGGTGTAGTGACTGGTCATCACAAGTGGATCTAATCACCTGTATATACTAATTCTTTGTTTTATAAAAATTGTTCTTACTTGCTCTGTCAAGGGCACCCTGCCTAAACAATTCCCTCTAAGTTTGAATCTTAGGAGGGAGAAATGTGGGAATTTGAAGCTTTCCTTCTGGATAGGCCCATGGACTTGTTAAGCACATTCCTTCATCTCCTTCCTAGCAGCATTTAACCTCTAGATATCAGTAGTTTTAGTGAAAAAAAAAAAAAAAAAAAAGGAAAAGAGAGTTCATTATGAGCCAGTTGGTTACATGAGCTTCCACTTCCCATTATACAAATATTTCCTTTGCTTTTGATTCTCTTTATTCAAGCTTTGTCCTGGTTGAATAACAGATATTTTGCTGGAGAAAATGGAATATGTTACTTACATGAATTATGACATTTTTTCTTATGGTAAGAAGTGAAGGAGCTAGGAGGCAGAAGAGTGGAAGAAAGGAAAGAAATGACAGGGCAAGGAAAAATAAAAGATAAAATGCCCAAATGCATACATAAATAAAAAGGCCAGGAAGGGTACTGCACTTAATGTTCATATTAACTGAAGGGTAAAGTAGGGAAGAGTCTTCTCCACTGTTCATCTACCCCACATACTAACAAGAGGGAGTTTCCAGCAAATAGCTGGCAGCATGTTCAGTACTTTGACTAACGTCTGGAGACAGTTCCATAAAGCAGTTTTCCCTTTTCAGAAACACCAATGCACTGAGATTAAATGAGAGATATTGCAGCTTTCACTCTTGTTCTGCCAACCGCAGGCTTGACCTTGATGCCTTTGCAATCATCTCTACAGCCACAGAGTGGGAAACGATACCTGGGGTATGCTCTCTCATTGACTCCAAGAGCTTCCAAACACAAATTTTACACAGGTAGTTTAAATGTAATGATGAATGCTTCAGTCAATAGATCATAATTTCATAGTAGTTGATCTGTTTTACTTTATATTTAAAGAAAATAAATAACTTTGGGGCCAACCCCTAGCTTGTATTCAGGGAAGGATACAGCACAAAGGAATAAAAGAATTTAGTGTTGTGAAAGATTTTCTGTCAAACAAAAAGATATTTCTAAAATTAGTAATTTTCAGAGTAGAGTGTTTTAATAAAAATATAAACACAAATCAAAATTTAATTGTTTCTTTATACTCTTTCCAAAATATGAGCAATATTTCATGCTCTGAGGGTAAATATTTCATTTTAACTATAGCTGACTTGCCAAATATTCAGAAACCTTATTCCTGTTCTATGAAAGATCTCAAAGTTAAATTAGTTCACGTCACTTTTACAGACTATAACTTAAACCTTTAAAACACATTTTTTTCCTCAGCCTGATTATAGCATATTTTCTTCTCAACTTAATTTTAAATGACATATTCCATTGTAAACTAGCTACAATTAAGGACAAAAATATTTTAAGTAACTAACTGATATATATATGTTTTTGTTTTAATAAGCCCAAATCAATCAAGGTGTTTAACTCACTTATATTTCTACTAAGGTATCACTAGTATCACTAGGATATATGGGTACATTGAAGATATGGTAGTACATAAAAATTTTTAAAACTAAAAAAAAATTTAGTGAAAAATGTTTATCTCCTATTTGTATAAAAAGTGTTTTTCCAGTATTTTTTAAATCCAAATGTTCAAATTAAGATAATGTGAACAATGAATAAAATGGACAAAAAATATTATCTGTTTTTCCTAGGCCCAATGAAATATTTTTTATTTGAAATTTTAGCATTTTTTAACTAGGTTTATAAACTAGTAAGAAACACACACAAGACAAAACAGAGCAGGATTTGTGGTCACAGCATCTTTTCTTCTACAAATATTTAATTATTCTTAAAATAAGGGAACCACATTCTTTCAGAGTAATTATAGACTTGTAAAAGTAATGTAATGTAACTTGTAATGTAACCAATATCTGAGAGTATTTTCCATCAGATAGAAAGTAGAGATTCTCTTAAGAAAGTTACAAAAAAAGGTTCTAAGATTTCAGAGGAGGTAAATTATTGAGTTTTACAGCCTGATACAATTTTAGAGCTAATCAGCTAATCTTATCTTTTATTTTATATTTTACAAAATGTAGGTCAAAAAGTAATTTTTTTTCAAAAAAGTGTTGACTGTATGAAAATTTTACTAATTTGTTTTAATGAGAAGAAAGAATGAGAGAAGTATCCTGCAATAGTAGGAAATCTGAGATGGGAAGACCAGGCTTAGACCTTAACAGAGTGTGTCACAAAAATCACCTCAGTTGACCTCAGTTTTCACATCTATCCAATAAGAGTTTGTATTACATTATTTGGAATATAACTTCAAGTTCATAATTTTCATGATTATATAAAAACCATTACAAATAAATAAAATATCTGCTATGATTACATGAAAATTCTAATTTGAAAAGAAATGCATGGTTTTTTATTTTTTGGTTGCTATTATTAAGCAGAATGTGTTTCAAAGTAGATGTACTCAACCCAAATTTATTTATAATTAGTAGCTTCAGCTGGCATATAGCAATTAATGTGTTTTTTCCAAAGGGTTTAACATTCCTCCTGTTATATACTGCAAGCAACTTATTTGTTTATTATATTATTAAAGCAGCCTTTAGGCCGAAGCGTGGTAAATGATCACAAATCTCAAATTTAATGAAGTCGAAATTGGTGACATTTTATTTCATTTTTCTCAGATCATCATATGATAAAAATCACACTGCATTTTACAATATCTGGAGGACATGATAAACTAGAGTAGCTATTCAAATAAAATCCGTACTCTGTGGCTAAAGCTGGAAGGCTGAGAGTTATAGTAAAGATCACAAATTCATTAATGAGGGCTCTCTTTATAATTGAATTATCTAGTCTGCCATTTGTTTTTTGCAATACATTACTCAATCAGTGACCATTTATTAAGGGCATAATATTTTCCAGATACCAAGCTAGGAAAATGGAAGGGGCTGACGTGTGAAGTAGATTACAAAAACAGGAACTTGGAATGAAGGTGAAAGTGATAGCTCAGCTATTAGAATGAGAATGTGCTGGATGGTCAGTGTGAGGTGGAGAAAGGGAATACCTTTAGAACGGTGTGCTTTTATCAAAGTCAAAACAGAATAGTAACATGATTTACCTAGTACTGAGCCTTTTAGCCTTTATCCTGGAGCAAGAAAGTAAAAATAAAATGGAGAGACCAGTGGATGCTCACTGGATTATTCCCAATATTTATCAATAAGAACTTTCACATATATTATTTTATTTGGTCCATAATATAAAAATCTACTTATATTTTGTTTCTCTTCCACGTATTTGCAACAGAGATTTCAGTTTGAGTCTGTATTAGACTGTGCTACATCTGGAAATGTCTAATAAACAAGTAGGATGGGCCAGGAAGAAAACTGTGTTGCATGAATACTGATTTATTTATCACTGGATAAGTCATCCTGCAGGAATAAAGTCCCAGGCATAAACATCTTGGCTCAGAGAGGAAGTCTTAGTTTTCAGAGGGAGGCAGAATTCTGAATGCAGTATAGTTACTGAAAATTGCATTTATTTCCTGGTGAAACTACCATTGGACCTGAAATTCACAGAGAATAAGAGAACGGTAAGTGACCACTGAAATGATTCTCTTATAAACTTGATAAAATATTAGGGTGTTTGGGATGCCTCTAAATAAAGAAAGAGGACAGAGCAGGTCTTCCTCAAGCACTTATCTAAAAGCTGCTGTATAAATAACTTATCTAAAGGCATTCATGACTCAAATCATGAATGGTAGCATCAAGATACCAAGAGCAGAAGAGATCAGGGACTAACTATAGCCAGAGACATAGTGATGACCACTGGCAGGTGGCTGCCGTGTTCTGTAACTTAGTAATGCAGACTGCAGTGTGGAGTGGAATATCTGCAGGGTAATGGCAGCATCAAGCACCTCATGGAAATAGCAGTGTCTGTAGGGATCTGACTTGTGCAGGAACCATGTAAGAACAAGGCTGGAGGTTATGGCAACTGGTTTAATAGCCCTGGTGCTTTGCTGAAACCATAATTCTCTCAAACACAACAAGCATCTGGTAGAGCAATAGCCACAACTCACAGGGGAAACAGGGACAGGGGACAAATGACCAAAGAGAATGGACTTGTTTATTGGGTATATTTCAGGGGGTTATTTTCTCTTGGTTTTGTCTGCCTTCAAATATGTGACCATGTTGACCTCTCAAACTGTTTTCTTTCCTATCATCTCTAAGGATTCACATACCGGGTGCTTTCTCTCTGTAAGCTGAGTGCAGAAGTTCACATCGTGGAATGTCAAGGAGAGTCAAAACTATGTTGTACTACTGATACTGTAGTCCTTGCAGCTTCTTTTGAAGTCAGTGTGATAGACAGGGTGGAGTAGTAGAAAGCACCTGAGGGTTGGTGCATGAGAGGAAGCATTCATTCAGCGTGTCTGGAAGTATGAGCCTGGGCTTTCCAGTTTCACTGATCTGTTTTCAGCCATGGGAGCATGGCAAATTTGGGCAACAAGTTTGCGAGTCATCAGAGAAACTCAAATCATTACTCTCCAAAACCACCAATAGAAACCCAGATTAGAATATCTTGTAGTATTTCTTTCCATTTGCAGATCTGACATGTTCTTCCTCAAGATGTCTTCCCGACTTGGTGTCTACGTCTAACCAAGTCTGATACACTGAGGTCTCCTTTGTTCAGCCTATTGAAATTCCAGTATTTCACTTACCATGGCATTTTCTGGCCTTTTTTTTAAGAATGTGTCACTGTCAAATATATTATTTCATTCATTTATTTAGGTTTTTTTTGTTTACCTATTTTCCCAGCCCCTACTAGGATGAAAGTTCCGTAAGGTCCATTTTTTTGGCCTATTTTTGCTGCTTGTGTCTCTAGCACCCCAAATAATGCCCAACACACAGAGTGCAGACATTGATTAAATATTGGTTAACAAATAATGTAATGAAAAGAAATTTTGATGCTCTGAAAAAATTTGTCCCAGCTGAGTGATACAGTGAAGAGAAGCTGTGCACTCTTGTCAATTCTGTTTTATCCCTACAATACTTCTTCCCCCAATCACCGCAATAGCATCTTGGCTTGTCTTTCTGCTTCTGACCCCCTCCATTACAGCACATTCTCCACGGAGGAATTACACAGTGGATGTCTACCCCTGGTCCTCCAAGACATCCCATTGCTCCTTAATTAAACCTGGAGCCCTCTTCCAGCCTATTACCTTTAGGCCTTTGCTGACCTGTGCACACTCTGTCCCTATGATTCTGTCTTCTCCTGCATTTTTGATCTTCTTCACATTCCTTGAGCCTGCTGAGTTGTCCTACCCCATGGTATTGGTACTTGCTCTTCTTTCTGTTGCCAGCAAACCTTGGTATGGCTGGCTTCTGTGTACCAATTATTTCTAAAAACCATTTTATTTCGGATTTTAGCATTTTAAGAATAAAGACATATAATAGAACATGTTAATGTTTTGGATAATAATAGATTTATGCAAGTTTATGAGTAATCATAACTTGAAATCATTTATATTAAAACATCATTTGTGCATTAAAAATGGTCAAATACTCACTATATGATGGGCTGGAGAATTCAACAGAGTACTAAAAAGCTACAGTCATTGTAGTGGGGGAGATAAAAAATTAACTGTCTAGCTTCTAACAAACTAGAGAGATAATTTTGTACTAGCTAGCATTTTTGGCATACTTATACTATGTAAAAGTACTATTTATATTACTAGTATTTTCACATCAGCACTTTGATGTAGATGTAAAGTGCAATCATTTTATAGATATGAAAGCTGTAATACAAATAGTTTAAGTAAATTCTTCAAGATCTCACAAATAGAAAATGGGTATCTGAAGCAAGTGTATTGGGCTTCAAATCTCATGCTGCCTTTGTAAGATAAAAGAAATCTCAAATGGAAAAAGGAGCACAGTGGGGGGCTAAGGTCAATCACGGCTTCTGTGGTCAGAAAAGTCTTTCCAGAGGAGATGATGATAAACTGAATCCAGAAGGACTACTGAGTGCAAAAATACAAATGAGGCTGAGAAAAAATGATTCTTGCTAAAAAGTTAAACGACATCAAAATATATAGAATATAGAGTCTGAAAGAGAGTGGAGGAAAGGGGAGGGGTAAGGCAGAGATACGTGTAATGCAAATAAATTTGATTTAATGCTGCGAATAACCATATAATTAGGTAAGTATTTCAGCAAAGTTCTACGCTGACCACAGGATAAGAAAGATTGGAGCAAGGCAGATCTCTTTCGGAAGACTTGTAATATTCCAGAGAGGGATGATAACGATCCTGAAACAAGAAAATGTATTACAGAAGGAGAGCCATAGAGAGGCTGAATACACATTCAGCAGTCGGAATTCAGTTGGAATTACTGATTGTTTAGATGTGGGAGTGAGCCAGAGGAAGGAATTTAAAATAAAACCTGGGGTTCTGCTTATGAGGATTGAGAGGGATATGCACCATTAAGGAATTGAATAGAAAAAACAAATTTCAAGGGAAATACATTTCCTGTATGATTTTTAATTGTAAGTATCTGAGGAACATTTATATACTCACTAAACCATTTGAAATCCATGTTTGGAACCTAACATAGAGTTTAGTTGTGCTCCTGGAGACAACCGCCTGCTTCAACTCCCAACCTGACCACTTCAAATTTGTGTAACTTTGGGTAATTAGTTAATAATGTCTTTAAGCCTTCGTGTCTTCATCTATCACATTGACAGAGTTACAATAGCATATACTGTCCCCGTGAGAATGGGATGTGATAATCTATGAAAAGCATATGAGACATTGCCCAGAGGTATTTTTTTTTTGGCAGAGGCTATAGGTTTTGTTACTTTTTGTTACTTTCATTGGCACTATAGAAGAAATTTGAACAGATACATAGATTTATGACCTACTAATAATCTATAGATTATTAGTAGGTCAGAGTAGATCACCGGTGATGAATGAGATTATCTAGGAACATTGTATAGAAGAAAAGAGAGGAAACTTAAAGTGAAACCCATGGGAACACCTACATTTAAGAAATAAAAGAATAGAAAACTGAAAATATGCCTGAGAATAATTAGTTTGAGGACTGTTAAGAAGACCAGAGAGAGAGAGAGTGGTGTTTAACAGGCCAAATGAGTTGTTTAAGAAGTGAGTGATTAACCAGTTAGACAATGCAGAGGTATAAAGAAAAATGAGAGTAATTTGTCAATTTAGAGGTAGTAGAAGGATTTCAGTAGAATGGAAGGGTCATAGAAGGGTCAGAAACCAGACTTTAGCAGTTTAGAAATTACTGGGAGGTCTGGAAGTGGAGACAATGAGAACAGATGGATCATCATTTTAAAAATATAAAGGCAGCACACATAATTGTTGGAAAAGGTCATGGAGGAGGTAAGAGGAAAGGGAATCTAAAGGACAGGTAGATGAAACAGTTTTTGGAACTTTCAAAATGTTACGATGGCCTGGTTGATGTCTTGCTACACTCTTTGCAATAAAGCAGTCAATAAAAATGAGACTAAACACACAAATATCAATAGCTGTGCCAGTTTATTCATAATGTATATTGATTGATAGAGAGGAATACCGTGCATTCAAAAGTGCATTCAAAACAGAACGAACTTACTTTTATACAATATGTAAGTTACATTTTAATATCATATGACCAATGTATTTCTCTTTAATCTGAATATATTTCTTCAATAAAGGAACTTTAAGTTTAAAGTCATCAATTCAATTGTGAATCAGAAAAAGCATCATAAATACATCATAAATACAATACATTATTTACGCTGGGCTTCCAGATTTTGGTGGACATTCTGTAGGATATCTAAGATATATAAACCTGCGTGCTACTGATAATGAGGGATTCATTCTGGCAATAGCAGAACTGTTGAGAGAATTATCTAATTTATAAGAATAACTGTTCAGTGGTTTGCAGAGTTTTGGGCATCTATGTAAGATGTAAAGGCCACTGTCATTGTGATTGTGGTTGTAGTGTCTTTGTCATATTTCTTGTTAGGTTTTTGCTATGATCCTGGTTGTTACCTAGCATTTCTCGTTTCCACCCTAGTTGAAAACCCAGTTCTCCTGCCTGCTGATTACAGGAGCCACCTTAAAACTTTTCAACATATTACCTTTCAGTTTTAATCACAGAAAATCAGTGTTCCTTGTTGTGACTAAGAAACCATGGTGATAAACCTGTGGTATTACTTCATCATTGATGAGAAGCTGCATGTTCTTTTCATGGAAATAGTAATATCAGAGGAAATATGAATCCAACAAAACTAAAGGATAGCCATGCATTATAAAAATGCATTACCCCATAGAAATGAAAACTGTTCACACAAAAACCCATACATGAATATTCAGAGCAGCTTTATTTGTAATAACCCCAAATTGAAAATGTCCAAGAAAGCCTTCAGCAGATGAAGGGTTAAATAAACTGGTACCTTTATATTCTGGAATCTTTTATATTACAGAATAATAAACTACTGAAAAACACAACAGCTTTATTTAATCTCCAGGGCATTGCACCTGGATGAAAAAAAAAGTCCCCAAAATGTACATACTCTGTGATTCCATTGTATAATATTCTCGAAATGACAAAATTATGGAAATAGAGAACACATTAATGGTCTTCAGGAATCAGGAACGGGAGGTGAGGCAGAGAAGGAGTTTAACAACAAAAGACAACATGAGGGATCTATGTGATGATGAAAATGTTCTTTTTTTTTTTTATTGTACTTTAAGTTTTAGGGTACATGTGCACATTGTGCAGGTTAGTTACATATGTATACATGTGCCATGCTGGTGCGCTGCACCCACTAACTCGTCATCTAGCATTAGGTATATCTCCAATGCTATCCCTCCCCCCTCCCCCCACCCCACCACAGTCCCCAGAGTGTGATATTCCCCTTCCTGTGTCCATGTGATCTCATTGTTCAATTCCCACCTATGAGTGAGAATATGCGGTGTTTGGTTTTTTGTTCTTGCAATAGTTTACTGAGAATGATGGTTTCCAGTTTCATCCATGTCCCTACAAAGGACATGAACTCATCATTTTTTATGGCTGCATAGTATTCCATGGTGTATATGTGCCACATTTTCTTAATCCAGTCTATCATTGTTGGACATTTGGGTTGGTTCCAAGTCTTTGCTATTGTGAATAATGCCGCAATAAACATACGTGTGCATGTGTCTTTATAGCAGCATGATTTATAGTCATTTGGGTATATACCCAGTAATGGGATGGCTGGGTCAAATGGTATTTCTAGTTCTAGATCCCTGAGGAATCGCCACACTGACTTCCACAATGGTTGAACTAGTTTACAGTCCCACCAACAGTGTAAAAGTGTTCCTATTTCTCCACATCCTCTCCAGCACCTGTTGTTTCCTGACTTTTTAATGATTGCCATTCTAACTGGTGTGAGATGATATCTCATAGTGGTTTTGATTTGCATTTCTCTGATGGCCAGTGATGATGAGCATTTTTTCATGTGATCAATGGAACAGAACAGAGCCCTCAGAAATAACGCCGCATACCTACAACTATCTGATCTTTGACAAACCTGAGAAAAACAAGCAATGGGGAAAGGATTCCCTATTTAATAAATGGTGCTGGGAAAACTGGCTAACCATATGTAGAAAGCTGAAACTGGATCCCTTCCTTACACCTTATACAAAAATCAATTCAAGATGGATTAAAGATTTAAACGTTAGACCTAAAACCATAAAAACCCTAGAAGAAAACCTAGGCATTACCATTCAGGACATAGACGTGGGCAAGGACTTCATGTCCAAAACACCAAAAGCAATGGCAACAAAAGCCAAAATTGACAAATGGGATCTAATTAAACTAAAGAGCTTCTGCACAGCAAAAGAAACTACCATCAGAGTGAACAGGCAACCTACAACATGGGAGAAAAGTTTCGCAACCTACTCATCTGACAAAGGGCTAATATCCAGAATCTACAATGAACTCAAACAAATTTACAAGAAAAAAACAAACAACCCCATCAAAAAGTGGGTGAAGGACATGAACAGACACTTCTCAAAAGAAGACATTTATGCAGCCGAAAATGTTCTTTATCTTTACTGTTTACAAGTCAATACCCTGGTTGTGATATGAATCAAAGTTTTGTGAAACGTTACTGTTGGGAAAATCTAGGTAAAGTTACATAAAATCTCTGGTATTATTTCTTATGACTTCATGGAAATCTTTAATTCTCTCACATCAAAACAGTTTAATGAAAAAGTGCATTAAAAGGTACGTTTTTTTTTTGTTTTTTTTTTTCTGGAATCTTGCTCTGTTGCACAGGCTGGAGAGCAGTGGTGTAATCTTGGCCCACTGCAATTTCTACCTCCCGGGTTCAAGTGATTCTCCTACCTCAGCCTCCCAATTAGCTGGGATTACTAGGCACGCACCACCATGCCTGACTAAGTTTTGTATTTTTAGTAGAGACTGGGTTTTGCCATGTTGGCCAGGCTGGTCACGAACTCCTGACCTCAAGTGATCCACCTGCCTCAGCCTCCCAGAGTGCTGGGATTACAGGTGTGAGCCACTGTGCCCAGTCTGAAAGGTATGAATTTCTTATAGAAAAGACCTGGTCTAAAATGTCTAGAACCTTATTGTTTTGATGTGTGGATTTTCCAAAACAAAATGTGTATCATTAAGTATTATGCAGGGTTGCTTATTGTAATAAGCTTTTGAAAAAAATCACAAACAATTTGAGATACCTTGGTTTCTTTGTGTCCTGGAAAAAATTCAGTTCCTCAATCCCTGGGGGTGAGACAAAGAAAATTTGAAAAATAAATGCCTCATTCAAACTATTACATTCATCCCAGATCAATGACATTTCATCTACTATTTTGAATATCAAAGAGAAATAAAAGCTACACAATTTCCATTCAACAAGTAAATGAAAGAACTACTAACATCTATCAGTTATTCATACCGACACAATCAATGAAGAATAATACTTTGGGAGCCCATTTTGAAAACTTCAGGGATCACTGATTTTATTTTTAAATAGAAATGTTACTTTACTGACGGAAACATCATTTGAAAGAAAAATCTCAAATTGTTGTGTGCATTGGAAACCATTACAGGCTTGACATAATATCTGGTTTTGGTTATTTGATAAAGTAGGAAGCTTCAACTCTGAATCATGATTTTTACAGGAGCTACCTTTCCATTCGATATTCTGATAAAAAATTCTTAAAGACTTTTTTTGTTTACCTAAAATTTGTCAATGTACTTAATATTAGGATCATTTTAAGGGTTTTGCTAAGAATTAAAGATATAATCAACTATATAAGCCTTTCAAGAAAACAATCTTGGATCACCTTCTTAAAATTTGAAAATAAAATTGCTTTTTCAGAAAAAAACAAAAACAAGAACAAAAAAAAAAACTGCAGTATAGTTCTCAGGCTATTAAAAAGAGAATAAATTTTACCTACATGATGCAAGCTATATTTGTTTAAATAAGAAGGTAAATCATCCTTATTTAAAGCCATTTGGGTCATCATTTTATGGAAGACAAATATACACTCCTCTGACCAAACTGCCATTGTGTAAGAAGAGATGAGATAAAGATGTCAGTTCAAACTTCCCAGTGTTAGCAACACTAACCGTCATGTAAGCCAGGATTAAAATCAGTAAATACTTGTCTATTTATTTACAGACAGACTCTGAAGACACCTTGAAATTCTGTAAATAAGTCTGCATATAAATTCTTAAATGACTTTAAATGCAAAATATAAATTCACAATTCTTATGGACACAGATAAGAACAATAAGGAAGAACTTGCTGAGTACGATTCCTTGAACTAGTGACAAAAGAAATAATGGTGTTTGGTTTCCAACTTGGATACCTAGTGGCTTCTTGTATGAGACTAAGGTCCTTTAGCAACGTGACCGATGTGAACCCCAGTTTTGTTTTTTGATTTTGTTTTTTTAGTAACATGGGATTTATAGTCAGTGTTTTCTAAATTGTACATATTAAAATGAAAAGTCAAAACCGATCAAATGATATTGTTAAAAGAGACAAATGATGGTACAGCACTGTTAAAGAGTACGATTCCAGTTTTATTTAAAAACACCAACTGTAACTGTGTAAATATACATCATCCATGCTTTTCAGGGTTTAGGGTCAAATGTGTCATGATGTATCAAAACATTAATAATGGTTATCTTTGTAGACTGAGATTGTGCAAAATCAATTATATAGCTCTCTTACATTTGTAATAAAACATGTAATACACATGACTACCAGAGAGGGAATATATGTTATCAAGACATAGTCTTCAGCTTCCCTTCAAGATATCAAAATAAAATGTGTAGGATTTATTTAGTGCTTTTATTTGCAAAATTTAGAATTTTCTTCTTTTTTGGAAGAAAGAAATAACTATATGAAAATGAAAAAAGAAAAAGACATAACAATACTAATATGAATTTTGATCATGTGAATAAATAACTTTGTAATTATCTAGGTCTAGATTTATTTCATTTTCATTCTGTGTGAAGTGAAGTAGCAAATGAACAGGGAAATTTTATGTAAATTATAACTACAAACATGTAAAAGTCCCAGTGTGGGAGTACATATCTTGGAAAGAAAATGTGTGAACACACACACACACATGCATGCAGACACAAGCCTTTATACAGCATTCTCAAAGAGAATCAAGACTCTATTTGATTAAGAAATACTGAGGAAATACAGAATATCAAATGGGGTATATATATATATATATATATATATATATATATATATGCACTCATTTTCAGATTTTTAACTCTACTAGTCCTAATCAGGATATCTGATAGATCCTTTTTCATGTTCTATTCAGTGTCACCATTTTCTTTTCTTTTGTTATTCCAATACGAAAGCATCCTAGCTATCAGGATGCAAAATAGACACTAGTTGAGATTTTTGTCATGATGATGTGACTGTTGTGTCATAAGACAAAATAAATGTCAGTGGCAAATTAGAGTGAAAGTATTATTGTCCAAAGAGCTATCTCCAAAGTGTTTCCTATGAATTGGCTCACATGACACCCCAAACAAGATATGGAGTGGGAGTAGCAATAGCAGTAGTTTATTATTTTCATCAGTATTTTGTATTAAATATGTGCATGTCTTATCTAACAAAGGTTGTCTTTGCATGGCTGTAAAGATTCTAACAATACAACATATCATTATATTGACTATTATACTCTGTCATCAGTAATAAAAAAGTTGAATAAAAGCCAATTATGGTAAAAAAAAAAACACTAAAGAAGACCAAACAGCATGTAATCAATATGGGAGAGATCAGACAAAACTGGCTCCACTACTTTGACCAGAGTTAGCAGCAGATATCTGGAGTAGGAAGTATCCTTTGCTTATGATTTTCCTCAAAGTGAGCTGCAATACAGCGACTCCATTTACTTAACAGTAGTAATCAGATGTTTGAAAGAGACAATAGTCCAGGTTTAAGCGTAGCAAATATGTCTCTTTTGTAAATGAAATATTTAAAACAGAAAACAAAGCACAGGTCAGTAGACTAGAATTTACATCTCAGTTTGAACACTAAAATCTGGTATAGCACTGAGCAATCACTGATACCTGCACCCAGCATTCTCACTGTTTATGGAAGATGAAACAGAAAAGTCTCAAAATAATGTTTGAAATCTAAAATGTTATGACCCTTTTAAGGCACTAACGTATCCCTGTGTTACTGTTTTTTTTTCTAGTATGGAATACAAACATCTTTAAAAATGTAATTTTCATGCAATGAGAATGTATTTTAAAGTAATCATTGTAATAATAAGTATATCACAGTTTAAAATGACTGGAAGAGACGACATTAGCTTTTGCTTTTACTATCACTGTATTTCTAGAGAAGTAAAAATTTAAAAATAACAATAAA